>NC_000011.10:105051212-105354242 GCF_000001405.40 Homo sapiens
ATTTTCTTGATTGGCTTTTTCATAAACGCTGGTGAAGTCATGGACAACTTCTGGAAACAGTTTTCTCTAGCAGAAATTTATCGGGGTCTTGTTATGTTGCCTAGGTTGGCCTTAAGCTCCTGGACTCAAGCTATCCTTCCACCTCAGCCTCTTTAGTAGCTGGGATCATAGGCCCATACCACTGCACCCAAAATCATGGCTTTTAATTTTTTAATATCAATGATGTCATTTTCAGTGGTGTAGCCCTTCCAGACTTTCATGATGTCATCTCTATCGATGGTCTCTTCCTTGGCATTCACAAATCTTTTCATAGAGTAACATGTGTAATGAGCATTAAAGTTCTTTCTGACCTCCTGATTCAGAGGCTGAATTAGAGACGTTTCATTTGGTGGCGAGTAGACCACTTTGATTTTTTGCAAATTGAACTAATGAGGTTTTGGGTAGCCAGGGGCATTGTCCAACATCAAAAGAATCATAAATGGGCAGTCCCTTATTGGCAAAATATTTTCTGACTTCAGGGACAAAGCATGAAAGGAATCAATAGAGAAAAAGTGCTCCCATTGCACAGGCATTCTTGTTGTCCAACCAAAACACTGGCAGCTAGTGTTTACCATTTCTGTTCAAGGCTCAGGGCTTAGTAGCTTTATAGATAAGAGCAGTCCTGATGATAAACCTGACTGCATTCCCATGAAACAGTAAAATTAGCTTATCCTTTTCTATTTTAAATCCTTGTGCTTGCTTCTATTTCTTACTAACAAATGGCCTTTTTGGCATCTTTTTTTCTAGACTAGAACATTGTCACCTGTATTCAAAACCTGTTCCAGTAGTATAGTTTCTCTTCAATGATTTTCTTAATAGTTTCTGGGAACCAATCTGCTGCCTCTTGATAACCAAAAGCTGCATCCCCTGATGTCTTGACATTTTTAATGCAAAAGCACTTTAAATTATCAAACCATCCTTGGCTATCATTAAAGTATCCACCTTTAGATCCTTCCCCTTTCTTTTCCTTTAAGTTGTATAAAATAACTTCATTTTTTCTGGAATCATATTAGAGTCTATAAATATACCTTTCATATGAAAATTCTGCCACCACTTACACCCTTCAATTTCAATACAAGATTAAAAATTGTTTCACAATAGTGCAAGGTTTTGGCACTGGCAGGCACAGTGCAGTGATAGCTTTATTATCTCCTTTTATTTTTTTACATTGGTCTTCATTCTGTATTCATTTATCTTGAAATGGTGAGCAGCCACAAATCCAGATCTCAATCTACAGTACATATCAAACAGTTCTACTTTTTCTTGTAATGTCATGACATTGCTTCTTGGGAACATTACACCATCAGTATTGGTATGTTGTCTGGACCCCGTGCTGTTATTCGAGAATTATGGTGTTGCAGTAAATGCAACGAAAAATACATTAAAAACCCAAGGATACTGCTTTTTATAGCAATATGAAATTTACTGGAGATACAAACTGCTGATGTAGAGATAATGAGTGTCACATGGCATTTTAAGCAGATACAAAACTTGAGTTCACTGAAATAGCAGCAGGAAATGGCTATGAAAATATGGGAGTACAGTATCCATGGTTAATTTTGTGCAGTTAGGATTTAATACTGTATCTTTATATTTGTTTACATTTCTCTTTTCAAGTGGTACTATGTTTTATCTATGAGTGCATAAACTTTGATAAACTTTAGCTTTCTATAATAGATTTGTGTATATTTTATAATATAGTAGTAAATGATAAAATAGACTTAACAACTCCATAAATTTTGTGCATTTTTTACATACCTAACTTAATTTTTCAGTATTTCTAGTGTAGATGATTTGTGATTTTCTTCAAATTGTAGCAAATCTCCTAAATTTTTCCAATATGTTTATATGTTTATAAAATGCATGTATAAGCAGACCAAGGCATTTCAGATACTTGTTGTTTATGGGTTAATACTAATTTATCTAGATTGCAAAATCAAAGCAGAAATGAGAGGCTGAAAAATTTGAGAAGGCTTCACAGGTACGAAGGATGGAATGAGAAACTCTGAGATATAGCTGATCAACTTACCAGAAAGACAGACGAGAGAGAATAGAAAAGACAAAATATTTAAAGCAAATTTTTCAGAACTGGGGAAAAATATGTGTCCACTGATTGAAGAAGCACAATGTATCTGTAATAGGATAACTTCAAAGAATAACTGCTTTCTAACAGCCCTCTGAGTTCGGCATTGTGATGAGTTGAATTGTGTACCATAAAAACATATTGAAGGCCTACACCCCAGTTACTCAGAATGTGCTCTTATTAGGAAATAGGGTCCTTGCAAATATAATCAGTTACAATGAGTTTATTTTGGATTAGTGTAGGGCCATCAGCCGGAACAACTCATGTTCATACCAAAGAAAAGGGGCTCTGGAGCAAAGACAGACAGGAAGAGCAACATGTGAAGACACAGACTCACAGAGGGAAGGCAGCAATATAATGACAAAAGCAGAGAATAGAGTGATGTAGCTGCAAACAAGGAACACCAAGATTGATTGAGGCAACCAGTAGTTAGGATGGCGGCCATGGCCCTACTCTACTGACACCCTGATTTCAAACTTCTTGCCTCCAAAACTGAGAGAATGCATTTCCAGTTAAACCTCCCTGTTTGTGGTGATTTGTCATGGCAGCCCTAGGAAATGAATACAGGTATTATTAGTTCCATTTTGCAGATGAGAAAACAGATTCTCAGAGAGATTGATGACTTAGCCAATGGAGTGAGGAGCAACCTCACCTCATGGATCTATAATCTGAAAATGGAACAACAACCACATGTGCTAGAACAGAAGTAAAAACTGGTGACCCACAGAGTCCATCATAAGCCCAGTGATATTTCTTTGGCTCTCTCAGATGTGATTTATCTTGACATTGAATTAATTATCAGAGGTAAAAAATTGTAAGATTTCAAATAAAGTGTTTCATTCCAGGCCTCTGTTGCTTGAATTTCAACATGGAAAGGGTTGCCTGGTACTGAGTCCTTGATGACGCATTCATTATGCCTTCTGATTTTTCCTGCGTTCACCTAACCTGATTAACTTAATGTGTGTTCTCTGCCAAGCCTATATGGTGTTGGTATTTGTGGCCTCTGCCTGGGAGACCTGAGATTAGACTTACAGTCTGTAAATTTTATTAAGATTATTATTAAAAATTATTATTAATCTCACCAATTTACACTGATATAATGATTTGTATGATCATTGACTTCAAGTCTCATTTCTCTATCTGTCAACTACCTGCCTTGGAGAATTGTTGGATTAAATTTAATGTCTGAAGAACAATAATACCTATTGAACAGCACAAATGTAGTAATGTTACCTCTTATCTCAATATGATTCTTCACATATCTGTAATGCTAGAAAAATATATGTTACATACGAGAAAATTTTTTGTAAGGAAAAGCAACAGCATTTTTCCACAAGGATTTCAAAACATTGAGTAAATGTATCTATTTCAAGGGAGACGGGAGGGTAAAAGGATGTAATAACTATATTGATTAAGAAAAGAAAGGAAATTTAAGGGATAAATAATGCAACATAAGTTTCATAAGCAATGTAGTATGTGATGTTTATTTTCACTATGTAACTCAGAAAAATCATTGTCATCACATAACACACCACTTCAACCCTCCTGACTTTAGTGCTGTTGTAGTGGGGACTCCCCCTCATGTGGTTGTTGTCACACATCAAGCCACTGTGCTTCAGGTTCTTTCTGCTTTGAAGATCGAAGATGTTCATCAAAGGACTGAGGACTGTTTAGCTGTGCATATGTGGGTCCAGAATTGTAGGAGAGGGAGGACCTTCTCCTGGGGGCTAATTTCAACCAATGAATGGCATTAGTCCATTGATGAATGTCTCTAATTCCTCATCTTCTAGTAAGGTAGAATCTACATAATTGTAGACAATCCTGAAGAAAGACTGGAACCCAGTTTCTCAGAGCAGTAATGAATTCATTATTGCATTTTTTTGGAATATTATCTTTCTTTCATCTCCCTTCCCCACTCCCTCACTTCTGCTTTTTGGAAATACTTTCCAAATAATACTTACAGTCAAGTGGCTGACTCCTCCTATTTCATGGTCAACCAAATTGCGTCATTATCATCATCAACATCACCACTATCATTGTTGTCATCATTATCTTTATTGAGCAATTTAAGTATGAACAGAACTATAATTAGTTTTCTACATATATCATGTCATGTAGTTCTTACTATATTACAAAATTGCTAGGCTTAACTCTCCTTACTCATAAAACTCTGTAGCTAAGTTAATTACACATATAATCACACATCTAATATCAAGTATGGGGCAGAAGAAGCCCAGGCCTTGAAACAGCTCCTTCATTCCCGTGATGTCGAAGTGAGCCCCATTCCTTGGAGTCAGATAGTCAAACTTTGTATTGCTTATAATGAGAGCCAGGTATTTGCAGATCTTTCTGTTTTTTTTTTTATTAGATTGATCTGCAGGAGATGGAGATGAAGTGACTTTGATTACCTGAGTCTCTTTTCAATCTCCATATGTTTCACAATTTTGTTTTTTTAAAACCTCGTATAGCTGCCCTCTTCCCTAACCTCTATCAAAAGACACTGCTTTCCTCTCTCTCAAGAGCCCAGAGCAAGAACCAGGACATATCTGGATGATTAGTCAAGAATCTTAAAGAAACTAGAATAATTCCTACTCCCTTTCTTCTTATTTTTCTTCTGCATCTACTCAAACATTTCTTATATTCAGGTTCAAATCAAATTTCATAAAAACTGAGAGATGTCATCTGCACCAGTAAAAATGAATATAGCAGAGGTTGTTTGCCTTCCATATTATGATTATATTTGTACTATTTAAAAAATATCAACATACTGTTTTTTAAGCTTTAATTATATTTTTCAAATATGCTTCACATCTAGGCTTTTCAACCAGAGTACAAATAATTATTACTCAGCTATGCTATCATGTAACTATTTTTCTTCTGTGACTATAGCTGAAATTGTAATATATCTCAAATAGATACAAGAATCAATAAATGAAAAAATGATGAATCTACGTTTTATCATGGGTTGAATGAGTATTGGTATCTTTTTGAAGCCATATGAACCCTTCCTTGCTGAAAGCATCTATGATAAAGGTTACTACTGTCATCACCCCCAGTCACTTAGTGCTTTAAGTATTTGTGCATTTATGGCTGGCACTGTGGCTCCAGCCTGTAATCTCAGTGCTTTGGGAGGTGAAGGCAGTGGATCTCATGAAGCCAGTATTTAGAGATCAATCTGGGCAACACAGTGAGACTATGTCTCTACAAGAATTAAAATGATCAGCCTGGCATGGTGGTGTGCATCTGTAGTCCTAGCTGCTTGAGAGGCTGAGGCTGCAGAATCTCTTGAGCCCATGTGTTCAAGACAGCAGTCAGCTATGATCACACCATGGCACTCCAGGCTGGGCAACAGAGCAAGACCCCATTAAAAATAGTGCATTTAATGAAAGCAATTGATTCTCTCCTTTTGTCCATTTCATGAACAGAGCACAGCATCTCTCCAGGTTTTTCTTTACGGTCTCAATAATTCTTCTTGAGGACAAAGCTTGAGAGTATTTGTAGATTCTGCTGATTCAGGTGGTCCAGCTTTGATTTGTGGAAGAGCTGTGGGATATCACACAATATAAGTGATGTCTTCTGCCTCTGTGACCCAGGTTATCACCTAAGAAAGTTGAGACAGAGAGAAAGAGAGAGAGAAATCCTAGGAAAAAGACTTCTTTGCCTGTAGGGATTATAGCTGTGCTTAACTTCCAGCTTAAGGAAATGTATTGTTGTTGAAGAAGAAAAGGGAATTCCCTGATAAAGAAAGCAGAAATCTCCCTCCATCCCTCCACACACAAAAAATGCAATCACAGATTCTGATCATTCTGCAAAAAAAATCTTGATGATTTAGGGTTACATTTGGCCTTCCTCTATTCAGAAAAACAGTTTGATTTTTCCAGTGGTTTTACTGTATGGTACTGATTCATCCATGTGGACTTTCTACTGTGTCTGGGCAAGAGTGTACTAAATAAATACCTGTTCAGAGTGCTATCTATTTGAAATACAATGTGAGTTCCACATGCAATATTAAATTTTGTAATATCACATTTACAAAAGGTATAATTAATTTCAATAATATATTTATTATAATTTATACAAAACATTACTCTATCAACATGTGCCACTAGCCACAAGTTAAGTACTTAATAGGTACATGTGGCTACAAAACTGGATGAGACAACATTCCATTTTGGAGTAATAGTTCCCTCCTAGTCCACACCACACACAGATACATATATACAGCAAACACTTAACAGAATATTGATTTCTGTACCATCCTGGTATTTTAAAAGCAAACTTTAAGTGAATGACCAACTTTTCTAGAAGAAACGGGTTTCAGATATCTTTTAACAAATTTTGAAATCAGCTATTCAAAGAAGAAATGTTGTCTAGTGACAATAGTACTGTGTCCAAGGTCAAAGGGACAAATATTTGTACGAGATTCTGACGTAAATGTGGACGTCTTGCCTCCAAAGTGCTGAACAACCAACACTAAGTTTTTTACCTTGTGTTTTATAATGTGAGGAAATAATATATCTCTTTTGGATAAGTTTGTAATAGTCATTCTGATCTATCCCCTTGTGAAATATAATATTCATCTCTTTTGACTGATATTGTGCAAGAAACTGGGAGATTCTTGAGCCTTCCTTCTGGAAAAGAAAAAAGAATTCATGCATACAAATTAGAAGAAAAGTTTACTAAGATATAATAACAAGGTTTCTTTTCATGAAAAGAATGGACAGGCATAGTATTTATGTTTGGTTACATGACCCAATCAAGACATAGGAACTATGAGTAAAGTACTATTATCCTGTCTACAATTTATATTGTTTTGTTATATTTCATGTATTTTTTCTATTTCAATCATTTGTTTCCATTCGTTTTTAATGATATTTTAGAATAAATATCTTGCTAAAGTGTATGATAAAAACCTGATCTCTGGGGATGCAACAAGTTTTAAGAGTATGTAAGGAAACCAAACCTTCTAAGCATATATTTCTTCATAGATTAAACAGTGACATATGTTCCTCCTTCTCATTTCAGAAAGTTCTGCCAATGTGAAGACATCCAGGGTCCTGATATATTCCAGGTCTGGGGGTATGTTTTCCTGTTTACAGGTTTGGAGAATTTCCTAAGTTAATAGTCATCTTTTAATGACCTTTATGCATCTAGATAGATAGATAGATAGATAGATAGAGAGATAGAGACATAGATATAGATGCATCTATATATGCATCTGTATATCTATCTATCTATCTATATATATATAAAGTGATTTTAGGTAAAATAAAAATTAGACAAAATTTCTCTCATATCCTATAGTAAAGTTAGCATGAAAATGGTTATTTTATTACAATATTATAAATATTATAGTGCAGATTGCTGCCCAAAGAGAGTTTCTATTAGCCTAGCAGTACAACAGAAAGAAATGTGGAAATCAGGAGTTTAGATAAGCATTTCAATTTGAGTCTTATCTGTTATGTAATGAAATAGGACTCTCTCAGGAATCTCCCCTGGAATCTCTTTACATTGAGACAAAAAGAGAGGGAGTGGTATAGGGTCAGACAAACAATTGCCATGGCATGTAGGGGTTTACATGGCTATGTCTCTGACTAAATCACAGTCTTGGAACTGTGATTTCTATATACTGCATAATATATGTATATTATGTGTGTATCTATATATTATATTATATATAATATTTTATATATATATATATGTTGGTTTGTTAAATGAAACAAACAAATAGCTAGGATTCTTCTTATCCTGAACTTCAGAATCCAATGCTCTGCTGGAAAACCTCAGAATTATAACCATATCCAAAGGCCTGGCCAAGGCCTAGACCTCTTCTAATAGCCTTGTTAACCTGCTTCCTGGTCTGCTGGGCTAGTGACCCTAAAACGTCCTGGGATCCATCACTCTGGAGAATCCAAATGCAGATAGAGTGCAGGGAGCCACTGGACCCCTGCTGCAGGTATCTGCAGCTACCTCCTTCCTGCCACAACCTCTGCTGATCAGAAAGGTTATTTCATTTTGGAATTTAGTGCTCATTATATATGAGAATTGTACGTGATAAATAATATATAATTATTGGTAAACTCTAGTAGTTCAGGGCTGCAGATTTCAGTGTAATTCTATGGAAAATTTTGTCTATCCCTGAAAAACATGGATCTGAGAATATTTAAACTCTAATAATACTCATAATATAATCTTACAGTCAAAAGTTTTAAAAAGTTATAAAATTTAAACATTTTATAGGAGTTCCCCAATCATATTTTTTTAATTCACAGAAATGAGTAAACACTGAAAAATTCCAATTTGTAGCATCCTAATAATAATTAGGAAAACTACTCTTTATTGCATGCATACACTTCATCTGTTTATTCATCACATATTAATTACGTATCTGCTATGTGCCAGGATCTCTAGTACTTACTCCTATTAATTATTGAAGAAACTAGTTACATTCTGGTGGCAGAAACTTAGTATATTTTAGCTCTTTTTACTTAAATGGAAAAGGGTTAAAAGTGGAACAGGTTTGTTCTGGAAAACAAAATGGTTAATTTCAGCTGTATTCATTTTGTGATGCCAGTGAAACACTCTAGTGGAATTGTTGAATATGCTGCTACAGCTAAATGAATCTGGAGCTCCAAGGAGAGAGTTCTGGATGAGGCCTAATATCTTGGAAGTTGTTGGTATGTGATGCCTGGCATTATATTGCCTCTAGCTTTACATAGTCTTATGAAAAAGGACTGGAATTGTCCCTGCTTTATATGTGGTAAGACTGATGATTAGTCAGCTACAGCGTTTAAGATACATGCAGGAAGACATATACTTTACTGACAGAATCTAGGTTTAGATTTGAGTATCTCTTACTACAAAGCATCTACTATTAATTATTTCTATGAACAGTCTGAACCTGAGGACTCAGCCTTTTAGCCAGTTGGAAACTGGATCCCACCCCACAAAAGGCAAGGTAGTCCCTTAAAGAACAATCACAGGTTTAATGAAAATGACAGATTTGTAAAGGAAGGATAGAGAGATCACAGAAGACACTGCATGGGCCTTGGAGTTGAATAGAGTCTAAAAAAATGGAGATATCCATTGTAAAATACCAATCTTACCTTTCATACTGGTGGACTTTTGGTACGTATTAAGTAGGGTCTCGAT
Source organism: Homo sapiens (assembly GCF_000001405.40). Taxonomy (NCBI): domain Eukaryota; kingdom Metazoa; phylum Chordata; class Mammalia; order Primates; family Hominidae; genus Homo; species Homo sapiens. The sequence continues at coordinate 105,060,487 of NC_000011.10, forward strand.
AGACTTTTGTCCAGCCACAGGGTTCTTTAGCACATTGTCTAGCAAGATGAGGGCTTTGTCTTCAATTTCGGCATAATATTTTTTCTTTTCCTTTCTCTTCAATATCAGAACTTTTTTTCTTCACAAGTTATTCAAATTGTCATGAAGAATACCATGGCCCCCACACCTCCTTCTGTTCATCCTTTCTTCTGATCTGTCAGTTTTTCTACCTCAGCTAATCTAAAATACATGTCCTGAATGAGTAAAATTTAACTAGTCTCCTTGCATTTTCCCGTAATAATTAACCAAATAGTTTACATTTCACTTTTTGTTTTCATTTCAATTGTTTTTTTAGATTCAGGGATACACACGCAGGTTTGTTAAAAAGGTATATTATGTGATGCTGAAGTTTGGGGTATGATTTAACCCATCACCTAGGTAGTGAGAGTAGCACCCAGTATATAGTTTTTCAGCTCTTGCCCTCCTCCTTCACTCCTTCCTCTAGTTGCTCCCTGTGTCTATTATTTCCATCTTTATGTCCATGAGTGCCTACTATTTAGCTATCACTTATAAGTCAGATCATGTGGTACTTAGTTTTCTGTTTCTGTATTAATTTGCTTAGGGTAATGGGCTCCAGTTGCATCCATATTGCTGGAAAGTATAATATTTGAATTTATATGGCAGTGTACTATTCCATGGTAGGTATGTACCAATTTTATTTTTATCCAATCCACTATTGATGGGCACCTGGGTTGATTCTACGATTTTGCTATGGTGGATAGTGCTGTTGACAAATATCTGAAAGCATGTGTCTTATTGATAGTACAGTACATTTTCCTTTGGGAATTTAGCCAATAATGGGATTACTTGGTCACATGATAGTTCTGTTTTTAGTTCTTCGGTAAATCTCCAAACTGCTTTTCACAAAGATGGAGGCATCACATTCCTGGACTTCAAGCTATACAAGTCTACAGTAACCCCACAGCAAGGTAATGGTACAAAAAAACAGACACATAGACCAATGGAACAGAATAGAGAACGCCAAAATAATACCACACACCTGTAACCAACTGATATTTAACAAAGTCAACAACAACAAAAAAGAAATAACGAAAGGATTTTTTATTCAATAAATGTATTTCTTGTTTAAACTGTGCTGAGAAATCATGACGGTGTCTTCTCCTCCACATCTCCTGGTCATCCTACCTTTTGATTGGAGATCATTCGGAAGGAATCCCCTTACTCCCGGGAAAGCTTTCCTTCAACTGCCTAAGATTGCATTAACAGTTAATTTTTACGGAAGGTGACAATTTACTTCTGCTTTTTGATACTCGCTGAGCAAAGACTGATCACAGATATAGTCTCAGGTTGTAGTAGAATATGCATGATAGTACAGAAAAGATATGCCCAGACAGTTAATAAAAGGCCAGAAATAAGGGGGTCTGTAATGTGTTCAACTATGAAGATTTTTAAAAGGTCAGATATTCACTTTGATTTATAGGTTAAAGATTAGAAAAGGCTCATATTTGCAGGAGAAATGGTAGTTCTTCGAATCCTCCCTAAATCTTAACATCCCTGAGTGAATGATTTCACCCCAAACTTGTTTTATCTGCACCATGCAGGGACTTCACTGCGCACACCATGGATCCTAGAGTTTCTTCAGGGTGTCATGCACTGTCTGCCAAGCGCTTCATTTTTGATGGCTGTCTTACCTTTGCAAGAAGTCTGTCAACTACTAAGGGTCTAGAGTTAATTCAAAATTTACTTTCTCTCTCTTAAATACCTTAACAAAGAGTAGAAATATGCAGGTTCTACTCATGGATTTGTCAGTAGTGAACTGTGGGATTTGGGAAAAGTCTCTTATCACACTGCACTGTCACTGTCATAACTATCTGTCTTCTCCCCATCTCTCCTGCTGAGCTCCAAATTTTTTGAAGTCAGGTACCTGTGGTAATTTGTATCTGCATCCCTAAAGCAGAAACCCCAGCAAATGGTTTTTCGAATGAAAAAATGGTGCTAATACGCAGTTCAGGTCTTATGAATTAAGCCTAACATTCTAAATTCAATACTTCCTCTGATTTCCAACCTCTGTTTCTCCACTGTGGAAAGAAACTGAGGACACGTTTTTATTTTTATATCAAATTTATTAAAATATTCAAAAAAGTCTATTATTAAACAGATATAATTCCAAAAACCATTATAGAATGAAGGAAGCCTTGGTTATCTATGGGGGGGATAAAAAAAACATAAAAGAGAATTTTGCTAAAAGAAATGTAAGTAATAAAGTTATACCACCAATGAGAACACACACAATCTTAAAAGGAAAGACTGCATGCTATTTTAAAATGTTACCCTGCTGAGGTGAAGGGGAGAAATATCTAAAAGTGAGGGTTCATAGTCTTACGGCCACTTCTAGGTTCCTATCAGCCGACACTCAGAAAGAGTCTAAAAGAAAAACTTTGGAAGAAGAGCAGCGTGCTCTGCAGTGACCAGAAGAAAGGCATTACTTCAGTATTTTCTGTATATTATACTATGGATTGATTATCCCTTATCCAAAACGCATGCTACCAGAAATATTTTGAATTTCAGATATTTTTGTATATTGGAATATCTGCATTATATTTACTGGTTTAGCATCCTTATTCCAAAATCCTAAAATTTGAAATGCTTCTATAAGCATTTCCTTTGAATATCATGTGGGTTCTCACACAGTTTTGGATTTCAGATCATTTCAAAATTTAAATTTTTGGATTAAAAATTCTAGGCCTGTAGACCTAGAGTCCTGGACTAAAATGGACTTTCAGTACGCTTTCCTTAACCTTCCCACACTCCCAACCACACACACATACCTGCCCTCAGATATTCATACAGCTTCCTTATTTTAATGTCCTGAAAAGAGGTGGAAACGTCTTGTCAAAGTCATCCTTTCAGTGCTGGGCATCTGTGCTTTATCATCTGGCTGCTCAAATGAAAGTCGAACCCGAAAGAGAAAGGAAAGTCTGGAGACCGGTTTTTCTGAAAAGTTTGTTGACTCATGCCAAAAAGACTACAACAAATATAGCAAAATAAGTGACAAAAACAAAAAGTACTTGTGTCTGCAACAAGTATAGCCATGTGCTTATCTAAGCATTGAATGACCCTCCTTGGGGCTTTTTAAATCTGCGGTTGGCTCTAATAGCCATGAGGGAGACACAGGCGAATTAGAGTCCGCTCATTTGTCTCTGCAGGTCAGGGGAAGGGTGAAAATAAATGATTGTTTTATTGAGCCTGTGGGTCTTAATAGATTGGATTTGGCTCCCAGGCTTGTTCACTCTCCAAAGAATTTCAAAACTCTTTTGGAAAGAAGGGTATTATTGGAGGATAAACATGTCTGGATCTGCTTTCTATGCTTCCAATTGCAATAGCCAAGCATTCAGGGAAGTAGAGTGAAAATAGCATCCACCAGAGCCCTACCTTGCGGAAAATTTCCTCCACATCACAGGAACAGGCATATTCTTGCAGATGTTCAATGAGTCTCATAATAAAAACAGAGCCCTTTGTGGGATGTCTCCAAGAAACATTATCAGTTGATAAAGCACATTTCACATCTCAAGACTGGCTCTTGCCTGAAGAAAGAGAAGAAACTCTAGTATTTCTGCTCCAGCTGAGGCATGTTTTGGAATTCATCTATTTTCCCTACACTTCATTGTAATTTTAGTGAATCCATTTGAAGTTCAGTGAGTGTATTTTTACTTATACTCTAACCGGTGCTGTATATGTTGCAGGCATTAAAATGACATAGTCCCTGAGTTCACACAGTCGTAAATTTAGTAGAGAGTTAGGAAAAGGCAGAATGGGTTAAAGGGAAGGAATTGGGTTTTGGAAAATAGCTATATACAGAGCTAAATAGAGAACTGTGAATGTCATGTGGAAGGCTGGGACCAAAAGATATTAAAGAACAGTTCTGTCTAATGTTAAAGTCTACTATATGTACTCAGACTGGAAATGTATGTTTTTGGTGTGTGTCTTTTCATTGTTTTTGATCATTGAAAAAATATAGAGTTCTACATCAGGGCATGTTCAAGACAATATAGAACCAAACTTCTTCTGAAAGAAGATATCTCATTGTACAAAATATTATAGAAAATTTAACTATTTGAGCAGGGGCTGGGCGTTTGGGCCAGAGGTGACCAAGAGAATGCAAGTCCTCTCAGGAAACTGCCATACAAGGTGGATGAAAGCATTCAAGTGATCTTTATTTAAACCTTGCTAAGAAAAGTAACTGGATTAAGTTCTACGATAAAAACATTTTAAATAACACCAGTCCTTTAACGTGTACTTCTTTCTGTGTCATGTGCAATAATTCACATATATTAATTTATTTAATCCATAGAAAAATGATATTTATATTCCTATATTTTAGTGAGCAATTCAAGGAAAGCCCAGGGATAAAAAAGTGGAGCTAGTTTACAAAGTACTAAATGACTAGATGAGTCAATAATAGCAATATTCTTACTGCAAAGCATACCTTTAGAATAATGCATATATATTCTGCTTTATATACTTCATGCTTCTAGGTAAAACCCACTTTAATTTAGGGGCCCAAAGTTCCTCGCTTGCTATTCTACTTTGCTGAACACTGCTCCTACTCGTCTCCTGTGAATACTTGATGTCGGGGCCTATTGGTCCATTGAATGATCTCAACATGGAGGACCTTTCCTACGCAGAGTCAGATTCTTATGTGCTACAGCGCGGATCGTCTTCCATTTAATTCTCTGTTATCTCTCACAGTTCTAAAATATTTTGCAACAGAGAGGAGTTCATTAATTACCAACTCAATGAAAAGATGTGCTTACTTGCTCTCTGTGGATAAAGAGAATTGTGTGTATGACTTGGAACAAAGCTTTAGTTTGTGTTCAAAAATCTTATCTAAAGTTCTGTACACTTATCTACCCTCTAGTGGGTGGTTGTGAGTTTTTCTATTGATAACACCCACAAAGATATTCTGTGTACAAGAAACCTGTTACCTGATGCGGAAGAGCAGAAAGCAATAAAATCCTTCTCTATGTGGGCTTTCTTAATAGCATCATCCTCAAAATCTCCCAGAGTTGGTAAAGATATATTTTCAGAGACTCATAATGAATCTTTTACCAACACCACACCATGGTTCTCTGGAAAGACAAAATTTGGTTTGTTACTACTACCAGTGGCTGAGAGGACAACGTTCTCCTCTTAGCCTCTGTTCAATCATATTTATCAATATATTTGCTGTATCATTAATTCACGTACACATGCACACATTCATTCAAGTAACAATCTTTTCAACAATTCTTATTTCTTCTAACACTCAAACAAATTTTAAAAACAACCAAACATCAAAGTCTCAGGATTGAAAATGAAACAAATATCTACCAACCAGTCATACAATTCACAGAAGCCACATGTTGAGTGATGACACTACGTTTTCTTTGACATTAATAAACAGACATAAACTGAAAAACCCTGGATCCATACAGATGAGGACAGCATTAGAATGTCTGGTGTTCTCAAGGACATCAGCACTCACCACCACAGCAGGCCTCGAAGATGATCACCTTGGGTTTGTCCTTCAAACTTGGGCAGTTCTTGCTATTCAACATTTTAAATATTTCATTGAGTTGTAATATATCACGGACTTGTTCAGAGTATTTCTTCCCACAAATGCCTTCCCGAACACCATGAGACAAGAACACCGGGAAGGTGCTGTCAGAGGTCTTGTGCTCTGGGCGGTGAGCAAATGCCTCCAGCTCTGTAGTCATTTCCTGAAAGAGACCATACCACTGATTTTGGACTATGTAATTAACTCTCATGGAACCTTGGAAAGCCAATAAATAAATACTTAAGGATTTCTTAAGGAATTCCATGACAAACAATGGAGTGCCAAAAAAACTTTAAGTCTTAATTTCGAGAAAGGTGAAGGAAGGGGTTTTAGGAAGTCATTCAGAGTTACCTTGTAGAGAGAACGTGGCATTACTGAGTTAAACAAACAAACAAAAGAAAACGAAATGAAAAACAAAAAACTAAACAAAAAAAAAGCACTTCACAATTAAGTTAAACCAGGCTTATGCTGAATGACTCTGATGTTTCAAGGGAACTTGTAGCATCCAGCACCCTCCCATGGCAAGTTTATATTTTATATTATCAAAAGATTACATTTCTTGGTCCTACAACCAAGCTTTCTAATATTATTTAGTTATAGGAAGGGCGTGACCATTCTCTCTAAGGTGTAATAGACCTTACCCAAGCAGTGAGATTTCTTTTCACGTCCACCTTGTACCCCAGATTTTGCAGCAGCATCGTCATGCCTATGATGTCAACCTCAGCTCCCGTTATTTTAGAAAGACTATCAAACTCTTCGTTGCAGATAATGAGCAAGACGTGTGCGGCTTGACTTGCCCATTATTGGATAAATGTGTAGGAAATGCAGTTTGGATGAGCAGTAATTTATTCTCTGTAATTTAATATTCCCCTGGCAAATTTATGACTGTTTACCCTTTCTTAATTCTATCAAGATACCAAATCCCATGGACTATACATTGAAAATGGCTAATGGAATTGAGTGCTACTTCGAGAGTAGGCATAGAAATTGCAAATGCCCAGATGGCAGGTGAACTACTGACTTCATTGCTGTTGATAGGTAGGATTTTGAAAAATGCACAAGCTTTGAAGCAAGAATGACTGAATTCTAAAACTGACTGCTCCAATTTCTGATTGTTTTTCTTTTTGCAAAATATTTAACAATCCCATGTCTCAGCTTCTTGATCTCTAAAATGTTTTTTTAAGGTTAAAAATTATGTATTATCATAGAATGCTTAGAACACCGGCCACTGTTAGTGAACATTCAATAGCTGTCATTGTTGATGTTATTTATCCAGGAATTGGGTGCAGTTAGGAACTGTTTCTATAAACCTGGGATTCTAGGATACAGGAATTTTTTTTTTTATGTAAGGGAAGCAGAAGTAAGATTCTCCATTGAGAACAGCTCTAAGAAAAAGTCACTGCATTTTAGAATCACCACAAGTATATCTTTCACCCCACTCTATCCTTATGTTCTGAGCATGGCACCTCTGTCAACTTTTCTTTCCATATCCTTTTAGCTTAGTCTAGGGAGCAAAGCTTAACGCTTCCTCCTGAGCCTGTGGATGTAGGCATAGCAGGGTTGTCCCACACTGGCACTGCCTGAGGAGTCGCAAGAGTCAAAGAATATCATGAACATTGGCATCCCTCTTTGTTCTGCTTTGTGTTTCTTACAGCCTCACCTAAGGATGAAGCCACGAAAGTGGAAATACATTCTTAGGAAGACAATCCTGATCTCTCACCGCTGAGTAATTTCACTGCTAATGGAGTACATTTCCAGCCAGAGAATTCCAGGTGTGCAATACAGGGATCTCCTTTCATATTTCAGGATCAGTATTTTCACAAATATTGCAGATAAAAATGTAGAAAGGAAGATTTTCAAGGCCATGCATGATAAAATGCTCAGAAAACAATCAAATGTGTAAGATCAAATCGTTAGAATATAAATTTGTTTCAAAAGATTTGAACCATAGAATAAAATTTAATGGGAGGCAGTCTTAATTAAAGCTACTAAAAATTTCTGAGAGATATGCTTATGTTTGTATTTATTTATTAATGGAAATGGTAGTAAGCACTAGGAATATTTTGTTAATGAACCCTTGTCCTGTTCTTCAGGATCTCTTCCTACTATGTACATGTATGGAAGGAGGAGATTATTAATTATATGAACTAGAATGAATATAAAATAGTATGATAAATGCTAACATCAAAGAGCACACTAGATGGATTTATAGCACTTAACATTGACTGCACAGACCTATGAGGAAATGTTTTCACAGAGTTTATATGAGAAAATTCTTGAAACTTTTACTTCATCACAGGTTCAACACCATCTGACAATGTGATCACTTGTTAGAGAAGTTAATGTAATCTTTGTTTCAAGATAGAAATGAGTTTTCTAGATTTGTGGAGTATCTTTTAGAAACTATTAAGTCAAGAAAATAATATTTAATTTTGAAAACAAGGTTGAGAAACTGTTATACAATCAGTTAGACAAATAAAGGCAGCATGAAGTGTGGTGACATGGGGAAGAAATAATTAGAATGGATATATTGGAGTAAACTATAAAATAATAATTTGATAGAATAAATGTTTGGTTTCTTGAGAAAGAAGAATGAAAACAATATAAAAAAACAAAATAGAAATATATGGGTTATTTCTGAGGTATTTTTTCTTAGTGAAAATACAGTATTTCATTATATAGTGAATATCCCATGCTCTAAAATATTTAAGGATACATACATGAATTAATCAACCTTAATAAATTCAATAGAGTAATGCCTGACCTTGATTAAAAAAATGTGCATTTCTAGCCTCTAAATTGTTTCTAAATAGAAGAGGGCCCTTGATGAATAGGGGTTTTTTAATGAAATAGAAGTAGAAATGCAGACACAGTTCCAAATTTGGGAGAAGAATGCATAAAACTTGGCCATGGCTTGAATATTGGAGATGCGTGAAAGGAAAGGGGCCAAGATGAGTTTCAAGTGCTTGGTTTGAACAACTAGTGATGGTGACACCAACAACCGAGTTACACAAAACTGGAAGAGAAGCAAGGTGTGGAAGAATGGCATGTTCAGCTCTGATATTGTTTAGATAAAGGTGTCTCTGGAAGATGTGAGGGACTATTTCAGTAGGCTTAAATGATGAAGTTTGGTACTTATTTGGGTGATCAGGGTTTGAGACACAGATTCCGAATTTTTAATATAAACATAGATAGTGAAGCTGTTTTGACAGTTGCTACAAAAGCAGAATAGATTACAAAAAGAAAATTATATGATCACTCTGTGGGAATTCTCCATAGCCCCTTTAACTGTGGTTCATTCTACAACATTAATGTCAAAGAAAACAGGGTTCAAAGAATGCTCTTCCTTTAAAAACAGCATTACCTAGGAGGAATTACTACTTGAGAGTCTTGTGTAGTAAGGTGACTTCCAGATGATGGAGCAGAAAAAGAAGAAGGACATTGAAATAGTCACTTATCATCTCTGGAAAACTTTACCCTGATGCCTACAACACTCCCCACTAAAGATTCCTCCCACAACCCTGACTGAACGACATTAAATAACGCTCAAGATGGTCTTTAATTTAGAGAGTGGTGGGGGGTATAAAATGAAAGAGACGTTTTCAGAAAAATATGATATTTATTACACATAGATGAAAACATAAACTTATCCCATGTCTGCTTAGACAGGCATAAGCTTCCTCTAACCCTTAGAAAAATAAAATTTTTTTTTTTTTTTTTAAAAAGCCTTTTACTTTGAAAGAACATCTGCCTCTGAAGTGGCATTGGAAAGTACCACAGAGACCAGTAACTAGGAGTCCACCAGAACTCTCATCCTCACCATGGGGTAGGTCCAAGGGATCACAGGAATGGGCCAACTCATTTCCTGTGCACTGTATCAGGTCACAAGGTGGCCACAAATGGAGGCAGTCCAGGGCTCACAGCATGATCCACAGCCTGATAACAGGCAAGTGGGTGATCTTACTCAAAAGAAAATGCAAGGAGGCAACGGGAGGAAAAAGCCAACTTGAAATCCTTACTTTTCTATAATCATTCAGTGTATTCTCTGAGTATATCGCCACTTTTGAAATATAATTTATTCTTCTTGGAGGGCAAAATTTTGGAGAGAAGTACAAAATGTAGTTAATTACAGACTTAAAACTTCATGTCAGACAACTACATAAGTGCCTGGGTACAGCCTGGACTCAAAAATACTAAATCAATCAATAAATATTGTGCCTCACCAGGAACAGTGGAACATATAGTGTGAAGATTTTTAGATAGTTCTCAAGAGCTTCAGGAAATTAGCTACCATGTACTCAGAACAGGAAATGAGCTTTAATCAGAAGAGGGCCACTGAGGATGAAGGAACAGAAACGAAGGAGAGTCAAGGGATATGCAATAGGGCCCCTGCTACAGAAATATTGCCCAAAGCCAGAGAGAAGGAAGTTTTCTGCAACTTAACATGGCTAGTAAAGACATCACATGGTAGTCACAATGACAGGCCCTAGGTGAACTTGAGTGTGAGTCACTGACCCTTACCTGCTGAGAGTCCCAGCGTCCCTGCCAGGTACCTGTCTTCTTCACAAATGTATGTGATGCAAATTTCACATGCCCGTGCCCCTTTCCGAATAACAGAGTCAAGCAAATCTCGGGCCTTATCGATAACTGTAACATTTTCACATTTTACTATCTCTGTGTCTTCCTGGCTCAGCACATTTGTCTCCAATAATTCATCCAGTAAGCCATTTATTGTACCTTCACCCAATGAATTGATAAGCAGCCGTCTCTTCTTCAGGAGGATCATGTCTGTTTGGAGCACAAGGATGTCTCACATCATGAACACAGCCTCATATTCTTCTCATGTCATCAACAGAAAGTGACCTCATTTAGATTTCATCAGTGAAATGTCCCCCTCCTCACAGTTGGGTTATCCCTCCTCTTACTTTATCGCTGTCCTTCTTGTTTCCCTCAGTAGTCTCCATACATGTGCATGGAGTGGACTGAAGACTGAGTTTACCATTTCCACATCAGTCCCTGGAAAGCAGAGATCATCCTCTTATGTCCCATGTTTATTTAACTCAGAATAATAAAGTAATGAAGCAGAAATAGCCCATTTCATTTAGGAACCACTGCTGCTAGTACTCCTCCTGTGCCAATTCTGTAGCCTCTGCCACACTTACAAGATGTAAGAGTTTAAATAAGATTGCAAAATGACAGCAGGCTGCTCCTAAAGCCTCAGTTCCTTTCTGGGCTTGCCTTTCCTTTCTAAAGACTGAAAGAGTCAACTAGTTTCTTCTCTCCTCCCTCTCCTCCCTCTCCCTCACTTCTGCTCAAGTAAACTTCCACAGATACTAATTATAGCTTCCAAAAGAGCCAGCGCCTTCCACAACTCTTTCCTCCCAGGGACCTGTTTTTGGGACAGTAAAAGACTCACCGGCCATGCTTTTCTCTCCTCCCTTCTTGTGTGAGCTGAAACTGAAAGCATGCTTCACCTTTCTTTTCACCTTCCTTTTATACCTTTTTGGCAGGGCGTGTACACTTATTGGGAAACAACCACTGCACATGCATACGCATGTCTTTTTTTTTATTTTTTCATATTTTTAATAGAGTGAGAATCACATTCCTGAACTGTAGACTGCAACAGAGAGTGTATCTTTGGGAAATTTTCTTCACCAGCTTTTGGAACAAGTCAGGGTAAGAGGGGAATGCGGCTTGGAGAATAAGACAAGAATGACAAAGTATGTGTACAATTAAACTCACACAGTGAAGAGTTTCTCATTCATTAGAAAACTTGATGGAGAAAAGTAACACAACCTTTAGAGAATTTGAACCCCTACTCTCCTGGGCCCATTTCACAGTCTAGGGAAAGTCATGGGAAATGTATGTCCCTGTGAAGCAATTTTACTTCAAGAAATGAACACATTTTTCACAAAAATTAAAGCTTTTCCTATTTAATGTCCTTCCTTTTCAGATTTTTTTTTCTGATACAGAATTTTATTCTGTCACACAGGCTGGAGTGCAGTGGCACTAACAGGGCTCACAGCAGCCTCCACCTCCCTAGGCTCAGATGACCCTCTCAGCTCTGCCTCCCAAGTAGCTGGGAACACAAGCACATGCTACCACGGCTGGATAATATTTTTATGTTTGTAAAGACAAGGTCTCCCTATGTTTCCTAGGCTGTTTTTGATATTCTGCACTCAAGCAATTCACCCACGTTGGCCTCCCAAACTGCTGGGATTACAGCTGTGAGCCACCCACCCATCCTGGATGGCTTTCTTTTGAGGAACATTACCTCATAGAGGCCTGGAGCACAGGCTCTGGACTCAGAATGTTGAACTTAGCATCTTAAACTTCATTTCTTGGGCAAGAAATTGAACTTCCCTATGCATTGGTTCCTCTGCCTGTGAAATAATTTTAATAATAGTACATACCTACACATTGAGCATTAAGTGAGACAAAATGTCCAAAATGCATGCAACATTGCCTGGCAAATGGTAAGCAGATAATGAGTGATATTACTATAATTAATACAAATATTTTACATTAGAAAAATCAAGGATAATTATTTGCAGATTATCCAGCTAAGTTTATCTTTCGTTAGACTCTTCAAGCAGTGCATCTAGTCATTCACTCAACAAATATATATGGACGATATGGTTCTAGGAGCCAGGGGTTCAGTCAAAACATATCATGGTCATTTCCCCCTTGCTCTCACATACAAGAGGGGAAGACAAACATGAAGCCTGGTATGTAGTATGTAACTGGAATATTCAGAATGTGCAAATATGGCAAGTGATGAGAAGAATAAGAAATTAATTGGAGAAATGGGAGACAAAATGTTTTAGGACTCATGAAAACTGTAGAATGAGAAGCCAGAGAAGGCCAGAAGAGGTCTCTGTCTTTGCAAGCACATGTTCAATTGATAATTCCAGAAATAAACTCAATGAGGCCAATTTATTTTATGAACCTCTTTGATGCAAGTTGGACTAATAAAAAAAATGCAGACAGTACTTTACATTTATCAATTTCTTTAACAAAAACTTTCTTGTGTCATTACCTTGTTATCTTTGGAGAATAAGGACCAGGAGTCACAAAAACATCCACCTTTTGACATGTGGGCCACCAATGTTACTTCCTGTGCTCTAAGCGATGAGTTAAACGTGTTTAGGTTAGACTAGAATGCACTGTGTAGAAGGAAAATGATGTGGCTTTTAACCCAAGGGGCTTTCTCATGATTTTTTTTTTATCTTTACTTTGTCAATGACCTAGTCAGATTGCAGCAAAATCTTGAGCTCCTTGACAGTGGGAGGATTTGGAGCATGGAAGAAAGCAGAAATTACCTGTGCATCACTTCTCTTCCATTCATTTACTTTTACATTTATGTACAGATTCTTTTATTTTCTCTATTAACTTAAGGATTTCACACATAGTTTTCGCCCCCAGGCAGAGCCATGAATCAGTGAGTTAAAGTATGACAAAATGGCATCCAGGACACAGAAGCCATGACTAGACCATGTATCTGGGGATGTAGAACCATGAGCCATGAGTCTTTTGTCCTGGGAAGCTAAACATTGAGCCACTAGATTGCAAGGTCTCACTGTTTCCTCAAAAATGAAGATGTCATAAACTGGCAACAATTCAATATCCAATTCAGGAGCATAAGTAAACAATTTGTGCTATACACATACACTGAAATACTATTCAGTCACAAAAGAAAAAAATACTAATTTATGCAGTAACATGGATGACAACATTATGATTTCATGATGAGTGAAAGAAGCCATATACAAAGGAACATATATCCTGTGATTCCAATTAAATAAGGTTTATATTAGAAATAACTAATGTATAGTGGTAAAAATTTAATCACTACTTATCTTAGGAGGAAGTGGCAGGAAATTGAGTACAATGGGCATGAAAAACTTTCTGGGGTGAGAAAATCAGGCAAAGTTTTATCTTTACTTTGGCAATGACTTAATCCATTTGCAGCACAATCTTGTGCTCCTTGCCACTGGGAGGATTTGTAGCATGAAAGAAAGCAGAAATTGCCTGTAAATTACTTCTCTTCCAATCATTTGCTTTTAAATTTATTTACTGATTAATTTATTTTTTCTGCTAACTTTCACGTGAAGGTTTCTTCCCCAGATAGAGCCAGGAACCACTGAGTTGAAGCATGCCAAAGCGGCATCCAGGACACAGAAATCATGACTAGACCATATATCTGGGGATGTAGAACCATAAGCCTTGAGTCTCATGTCCTGGGAAGCTAAACATTGAGCAACTAGATTGCAAGGGCCCACTGTTCCTCAAAAATGGAGATGTCAAAAACTGGAAACAACTCAATAACCAATTCAGGAGCATAAGTAAATAATTTGTGCTATATACATACACTGAAATGCTGTTCAGTCATAAAAGGGAAATATTACTAAGATATGTAATAATATGAATGAAAAAACTGCTGCATTCATTATGAGTGAATGAAGCCATATAGGAGGGAACACATACCCTGGGATTCCAATTATATAAAGTTCTAAATTAGAAAAAAACTAACGTATATTGATAGAAATTCAATCACTACTTATCTGAGGGGGGAGTTTTTTTCTTCTTAGTCAACTGAATTATTTTTTTCCATTTTTTGTCTTGCCACTTTTAATGCACACATGAGAGGCCCTAAAATAACTTCTGGTAGCCTGCGACTCCTTGGGAAAAACAGAGGAGGCACCATAGACCTCGTTTTGGAAAAAAAACAACAACAAAAAGCAAACAAAAAGAAACCGCTCTGTTTTCTTCCCGAAACCCCAGGAATTAACAGTAGATAGATCCCTATCAAAATCAAAGGCTCTATTCTGTTTTGCATTGTGTTATCTGACAGTTTGAGTTTTGGGGGGATCAGAAATTACTTTGCATTATGAGAGAGCTTTGGTATGTAATAACTAGGTAGGAAATATATTTAATGGATGGCCAAGAGTATTTTTGGAGGCATACTTGGCTCTTTGCACACTTGGATTAGAGAAACATGCACTTGGACACCTGGAAGATATGGAAACATCCTTACCCTTGACTGAGAGATGAGATTCCCATGGGGGATGGGCTGATTTCAAAATGGGCTGATTGGCTTTAGGTTGCCTTGCAACAAAATGCAGGGTAGAAGCACCACACTGTCTTCTCTGGTAGTATTTTCCTCCTTTTGGGGATCAAGCATCCAGTATAAAATGACACCCTTAATTCTGGAGATCTGTCTTTCCCTTCAGCTGTGGCTGCTTATTTAGCTCAGAAAAAAATGCATGCTTTCCTGACCCTGTTCCTCCAAGGGCTCCACCCTGAAGCTAGTAATCCAATTTAAAGCTGGCAAATGAAAAATCTTACAAGCCCGGAGTTTTCTGTCTGTGTATTTATATAAACTTCTGTAATTCTGATATTATTTAGTGTACATTATTAGTAATTATCATTGTTATGTAAAATTGTGGGATGCCACAGAAGTAAGCCAAATTCCTAGTCAATTATAACTTTAATAGTGTCTATAGGCTTTTGTCATCAACAGATATTTTGTCTTGCTTTGGTCCTTTTCAAATGGCAGTTTATAATCAGATATAGGACTTTGAATGCAGGTGTCAGATAACTTTAAAAATTGTGCTATTGGAATGGAGGAAAAAATGAAACTTCTAGGACTCTCATGAAGACCTTATATGTTAAATATCACTAATCCTTTTGTTTTCAGAGTCAAGATAACTTATTTCTTTAGAGCTATTTGCAACTTTTAACAAGTGAGTAAAATATGCTCTGGTGAAAAAATTTTGAACCATCTTTGTTTCTCTCTATCTGATTTCTCCAGAATTTGGAAGCTATTTGTAAGTATTCACAATTTATGGGAGCATAGTTAATTGCATAAGTGCAATAAGATTTTTTTTTTTTTTCTTTTTTTGTAACAGGACACAATCGGAGAAATTGGTTGTTTTATCAAGGCTTTGACTGGAATGCTGTGCTTCTTTTAAAGAATCGAAGTTGACTCATAGAAACAATGAAATCCCTTGGGGAATCTGGCTTCATACCTTGTCTACACAGAGTCCTTGTACAAGTTTCTTGATCTCTGGTAAGTGAAGAATATCACTGTCTAACAGGTTCAGGAGCTCCAATTTATCTTGGGACCTTGAGAGGAGAGGAATTTACCCAACTCATAGGTATTTGAGTGTACGAACGCATGGCTGGACTCGGCTCTTGAAAAGTCTTACCTGAGATTGCTCATGGAACAGAGTTCCATCAAAGCCAATTTAAACAAAAAACAGCCTAACTGAAAAATAATTATCTGTTGCACCTTATGCAAATAATCAGGTCAAGTACAGTAAGACTAAAGCTTATTTTTGTAAACAAATTATTTCTATCATAATTTGTTCTTAATAAAAATGAGTCTGGAAAGAGAAAAATTATGCTTTGAAAGAAAATCTATAATACACCTGTTGTTAGCTGTCCTTGAGTTTTTTTTTTCTGCAATTTGGAATAAATCCCAAAATATTTGTGGATTAGAAGTCTCTAAACTAGTGCTTTCAAATCTTTCCTTTTAAAATTCTTTTTAGAATCTTTCCTTTTAAAATTGAGAATTGTACTCCTTATCCTAGGATTTGTTTTATACCTTACAGGAGGCTGTTCTCTTGAATACTGTAGGAAACCTACAAGGACAATACTAATGTTTTTGCCATGTAAGCATTGGAAGCCCAGCCAGGCCTGCATAAGTATGGTCTGGCAGTTGCAAAGCAGTTCCAGTCTTCTCACCTTGGGGTTCACTCCAATTTCCACTATGTCCCCTGTCAGCAGATGGAAGCCAGTGTGATCAACAGCCTTTTCCCATCTTCATAGCCTACATCTTAAGATTAAGCTGTTATAAAACCCAAAGGAAGGGATTGAAACCGCCTTTGTAATATTGCAACTGAGGAAATTATGACAGTGAAAGAAATCAGACCTAACCAACTCCATCTTGCTTCTAACACTTAAGCTGTCCTTCTTCATTCCTGGGCATAGGCTGAACTAACTTTGGGAAGGAATTCAGTTCATGGTCTGACTCTGAAACAAAATTGATTACAGTCCTTTCCCAAAAAGACCCCTTCTTGCCTGGGGTCCAGTCTGCCTTTACAGGACTAACAAATTAGCTACAAGATTAAAAATTACAATTTAAGGGTCATGCAACCTCTGGCTCCTAGAGTCTGAACGTCCCCAACATGCTCTGGGGATAATATCACTATTGTGAAACCTAAGATCAGCACTTAAGATATTTTTCAGACACTGCACTCAGTGGATCAGCTGACACCACCCCGACCCATAATCTAACTCAACCAGGCTGCCATAGCACCCAGGAAGAGAAGACAGCAAGAAAACCTCACTTTGACACCCTATGATTCCATCTCCCACCTAACTAATCAGCACTCCCTACTTCCCTAGCCCTTACCTGCCAAATTATCTTTAAACATTCTGATTTCTGAATGCTCGGGGAGACTGATTCAAGTAATAACAAAACTCTGATCACCCACACAGCCGGCTGTGAGTCAATTACTGTTTCCTGATTGCAATTCCCCTACCCTAACAAATCAGCTCTGTCTAAGCAGTGGGCAAGGTGAACCCATTGAACAGTAACAAATTCTTAATAGCAAACCAGGTGAGTTTGATTTCATTTAACAGATGATAAGTGCACATTGGAAGTTTCAAGCAGAAGGAAGGCATATTCATTCCCCTATCTATTCAGGAATATATATATATATATATATATATAGAGAGAGAGAGAGAGAGAGAGAGAGAGAAAGAGAGAGAGAGAGAGAGAGAGAGAGAGAGAGAGAGAGAGAGAGTCAGAGTTTCACTCTTGCTGCCCAGGCTGTGGTGCAATGGCGCAATCTCGGCTCACTGCAACCTCCGCCTCCCGGTTTCAAGGAATTCTCCTGGCTCAGCCTCTCAAGTAGCTGGGATTACAGGCATGTGCTACCATGCCCAGCCAATTTTTTTATATTTTTAGTAGAGACAGAGTTTCACCATGTTGGCCAGGCTAGTCTTGAATGAGTGACCTCAGGTGATCCACCCACTTCACCCCTCCAAAGTGCTGGGTTTACAGGCGTGAGCCACAGCGCCCAGCCCCATTCAGGAATATCTAATGATCATCATTTCTTAAAACTTACTCTGCTAGTATTAGGGGTACCATTTTGGAAACATGTTTGTACACTTTAAAGCTTGCAGTCAAGTGGATAGATATGCAAATAAGTAAAATGAAACATTTTATAAGAATGTACATAATGAGCAGATACTCAATAAAAGCATAGGTAAAGCGTGTCGTAGGTGGAAGATAGCTCTCCAGAGAAGAGAGGGCTGGGCACTGAAACCAGAAGGACTAGTAGGAATTTGTCCAGTGAACAACTGTGGGTTGGTATCCTGGCAGAGAGCAGTGTGGGAAGAAGCACAAAGGCTTGAATGTCTGGTATAACCACAAAACTGGGAGAGCTGGGCTTTAGAAGGAATATAAATGTGAAGCCAGGACTGAAGTAGGAGTGATCAGAGGCAGGGCAAGTATTTGAAGATGTTTGCAGAAAGGTAGAGTAATGGCAGAGTTTGAGAGTCACGCCAACCTGAGATCACTCCTCTCAACAGACTTTTGACCTAAAGCATATTTTGAAGGCATTCTCTAAGTATCCCCTTCAACTATAATATGGCAATAATAGCACAACTGTATTGATTGGTTTTAAATATTAAACCAGAGAGAGTACATTAAATAGCTATCATATGGTAAGTATTTTTTAAAGAAATGGTTATTACAGATTATTTTTTGTTATAATAATCACTGAATGAAAGCTGCAGTGGTAATAAAAATGGAAGGAATCAATTAGAGGAAAAAACTCATCAGGACCATAGTTTAGGCTCCCGGTAAAGTGATGTAATGCTTAAACACATTATAGGATACAATTCCTCAGGAGTTTAAGGTAACAATAGCTGACTACACTTAGTTGTTTATAATTACCAGATCATGACTTGTTTTTGACTAGTGGCTTTCAATTTTTCCCATCTATTATCTAATGATCCTTTGATTCTGGAGATTAAGTTAAATGTTGTGAGGTGAGACATAAACCCCGGATAGAATTGCTCTATAGGGAGAATCAAAGTAATAAAGAAACTCAACAACAAAGAAATATGAGTGAAGTAAATACAGTAATTTTGTTATGAAGCTGAAATAATGCTTTATAGGGACTAATGGAGAAATGAATACACATGTTTCAGAAGGTAGAAAAACTTGTCTGAAAGTTCAGATTTTTTTTAAAAAAGGCAATAAGGAGCCACAGTATGTCCCTGAGCAAAGTTAATTACATTAATAGATCACTAGCAGATAAGCAGAGAGAGTTAAATAACTGGTCAACTTTATTAATAACTCTAATCTGTAGACAAACCTATGCCAGGTCAGTTCCATAAGAATTATCTGCAGATCTTCAAAAGGCAATAAATGCCTGCAGGATATTTAAGACTGAGCTATTCAGAGTGAGGAAGGGGGTAGTGATCAGACTTTTTAAATATGATTACAGATTACTGTGATATGTTATAAGGTTTAGAATCCACTGATCTAGTCCAATTTCTCCCTTTTCCTATGAGGAGAATGAAGCCAAAGAAGTGTTATGACCTGCTGGAATACTGGCTGCCTAAGTAACTCATGACTATCCCTTAGGCTTTTTCAGCGTCGTTATATAAGACAGGAGACCCGAAAGTTGTGTGCAGAATGGATCGGAGAGTTAAGTCCTGGAGAGAGGGAGACCACTTAAAAACAACAACAGCAACAACCACACAAATGTGATAGTTACCTATGAAATATTGCATTAAAGTAGTCAGTACCGCGACCAGAGAAAGGGGTAAAAATGGAATCACTTTAAACAGACCAAGGATATAATTCACAATAAGAGATGACAAAGAGGTTAACAATTCAGAGGCTCTCAGGTCTGATTCGGGGAGGAATGTTTATGATCTGGGCAATTAATTTGGAATCAAGAGAAAGATTTCAGAGTGCATTTTGCAACTTCTAGACTTGTCTCACACAAATAACTTCCTCTACCTTTCTTTACCCTCCCTTTGATTACCAGAAGCTGAAAGAAAGGAATTAACTTCTTTCTGGCTCGAAGACCTCTGGAAAACTATGATCTCCTTCAGTATCTCTAACACCAGGTCCTGTGATTCAAACTACGCACAACCAGTAAGAAAAAGAATTCAGCATGCATGCTAATGGCTCACCTCCTTTCTTATGTTTATTACACATCAATAAATCAAGTGTTTTCTAAGATCCTACTACCAAGTTCCTAGTCAGAAAAGGAATCACCTGCCATAGGTAACAGCCTGTGTTCTTTCCTACAGCATTGAAAAGAGCCTCAGACTAAGAAATGAAAGGAAACTGTGTATTTCTTTATTGTAAAGGGCAGAAACGTGCAATTACAGATTGTGAAACTGCTGCTTAGAATTCCAGGCTCATTGTAAGGAAGTGCCTTGTCGTCAGCAAGTTGACATCCAAGTACTGGAACTTAGTTTCTTCCTGTGGGAGGAAAAAAAGAAAATGACAAAACATTGTCCTGTGGGTTGACACCTCAGCCTGTTTCTTTTCCTTGTTTCCTGTGGCCCCCCTACTTACTCTATCCATCTGTCTCTTCTCTTCCTGATCTCTCAGTTTTTCTTTCTCTGATCACAAAGAACCACAATGACTGAAGGAGTTTAATCTAACAAGTCTTCTTTCGTTTCCTCATAAGAATTAACCAAATAGTTCATATTTCCTGCTTAAACTGTGTTGATGAATCCTCACGATGTCTTCCCCTCTCTGTCTCCCTATGGTCTTAACCTTTTATTGGAGATAGTGCTGAGAGAACCCTCTTCTCTACTCCCTGGCATGCTTTCCTTTTACTAACTAAGATGGTCATAACATTTAATTTTTACCGAGGGTGAAAGTTCACCTTTGCTTTTTGATATCCCCTGAATGAAAGCTGATTGTAGAAGGAGGCTCAAGCTGTAGTAGAATTAATGTGTGATTATACAAAAGAGATATGCGCAGAAGAACAGTAAGTAAAAAGAGAAAGAAAAAGGCAAGGGATGACCGAGAAGAAACAGCTCTGGTTTGCAGCTCCAGCAGAGGAAAATACACAAGGCAAGTGATTTTTGCATTTCAAACTGAGGTACCCAAATCCTCTCACTGGGACTATCTAGGCAGTTAGTGCAACCTACAGAAAGCAAGGAGAAGCAGTGTGGGCGGCAGTTCACCCAGGAGCTACATGGGACAAAGGGACCTCCTTCCTTCAGGCAAGGGAGGCAGTGAGGGACTCTGCTACCCACCCGGGGTACTATTTTTTCCAGAATTTTTGCAATCCAGGGCTCAGGAGATCCCCTCGTGAGCATATACCATCAGGGCCTTGGGTCTCAACACAAAACTGGGCAGACCCACGGCTGCTGTTCTGGTTGGCAGCTGTTTGGGCAGGCACTGAGCTGCAGGAGTTTTTACACAGTCCAGCAGCTCCTGGAACTCTAGTGAGGCAGGAGTCCCATCCACACCCATGGAAAGGGGGCTGAAGCCAGGGAGCAAAATGGCCTTGCTCAGCATGTCCACTCTCACAGAAGCCTGCAAGCTTAGATCCACTGGATTAGAATCCCCACTACCCAGCATAGCAGCTTAGATTAGGCCTAAAATGACCGAAGTCCTCAAGGGAGGGGGGACTGCTGTTACTGCAGCTCTAGTAAGCGGTTTTCCCCTCCCAGTGCTAGGGAGGCTGGGCAGATTGGACTGGGCAGCAGTCTTCACAGTGCAGCACAGCCCCTGGAGCAGATCATGGCCAGACTGCTTCTTGAGGTGGGACCGGGATCCATCCCTCCTCACTGGGCAAGGCATCCTTGCAGGGATTCCAGCAACTCCAGCCAGGAGTTTACAGACAAAGCTCTCATTTCCCTGGGACAGAGCACCTGTGGGGAGGGGTGGCTGTGGTCTCAGATTCAGCCAACTTAATCTTTCCTGCCTGCTGGCTCTGAAGAGTATCAGAGATCCAGACAAGGGGGATTCCCCCAGCCCACTGCACCATCTCTGCTAAGGGATAGCCAGACTCCTTCCTAAAGTTGTTTCCTTATCCTGGGCCTCCTGAGTGGGTTAGACCTTTCAACAGGGGTTGCCAGACACCTTATGCAGGAGAGTTCCAACAGGCATCAGGTAAGTGCCTCTCTGGGACGAAGCTTCCATAGAAAGGAGCAGGCAGCAATCTTTGCTGTTCTGCAGCCTCCATCGATGATACCCAGGTGAACAGTATCTGTAGTGGACCCCCAGCGAATTGCAGCAGACCTGCAGAAGAGGGGACTGACTGCTAGAAGAAAAACAAAAAACGAAAGCAACAATAACAACAGCATCAACAAAAAAGACCCTACAAAAATCCCATCCAAAGGTCAACAGCTTCAAAGATTAAAGGTAGATAAATCCACAAAGATGATGAAAAACCAGTGCAAGACCGCTGAAAATTCCAAAAGCTGGAATGCCTTTTCTTCTCAAATGATTTCAGCATTTCTTCAGCAAGAGCACACAACAGGGCTGAAGCTGAGATGGATGAACTGACAGAAGTAGGTATCAGAAACTGAGTAATGACAAACTTTGCTGAGCTAAAGGATTATGTTCTAACCCAATGCAAAGAAGCCAAAAACCATGATAAAAGATTACAGGAAATGTTAATTAGAATAACCAGTTTAGAGAGGAATACAAATGACCTGTTGGAGCTGAGAAACACAGCATGAGAGCTTCATGATGCAAACACAAGTATTAATAGCTGAATCAACCAGGCAGAAGAAAGAATATCAGAGCTTGAATACTACTTTTCTGAAATAAGGCAGGCAGACGAGATTAGAGAAAAAAATATAAAAGCAATGAACAATACCTTCCAGAGCTATGGGACTATGTAAAAAGACCAAACCTATGACTGATTGAAGTACCCAAAAGAGATAGGGAGAATGGAATCAAGTTGAAGAACATACTTCAGGATATCATCCAGGAGAACATCCTTAACCTAGAAAGACAGACCAACATTCAAATTCAGGAAATTCAGACAACCCCAGTAAGATACTCCACAAGAAGATCAATCCCAAGACACATAATCATCAGATTCTCTAAGGTTGAAATGAAGGAAAAAATGTTAAGGGCAGCCAGAGAGAGAGGCCAGGTCACCTTCAAAGGGAAGCCCATCAGACTAGCAGCGGACTTCTCAGCAGAA
The DNA here is from genome assembly GCF_000001405.40 of Homo sapiens. NCBI lineage: Eukaryota > Metazoa > Chordata > Mammalia > Primates > Hominidae > Homo > Homo sapiens. The sequence continues at coordinate 105,083,296 of NC_000011.10, forward strand.
ACTCTACAAGCCAGAAAATACTGGGGACCAATAGTCAACATTCATAAAGAAAATAATTTCCAACCCAGAATTTTGTATCTGGCCAAACTAAGCTGCATAAGTGAAGAAGAAATAAAATCCTTTTCAGACAAGCAAATGCTGAGAGATTTTGTCGCCACCAGGCTAAATGCCCCAATTAAAAGACACAGAATATGGCAAGCTGGATAAAAAGACAGGACCCATCAGTATGTTGTATTCAAGAGACACTGTGGCTGGGAATGTAAATTAGTTCAACCATTGTGGAAGAGTGTGTGGTGATTCATCAAAGATTAAAACCAGAAATATCATTTGACACAGAAATACCATTACTGGGTAAATACCCAGAGGAATATAAATCATTCTATTATAAAGATATATTACATGCATGCATGTGTTCATTGCAGCACTAGTCACAATAGCAAAGACATGAAATCAACCCAAATGTCCATCAATGATAGGCTGGATAGAGAAAATGTGGCACATATACACCATGGAATACTATGCAGCCATACAAAAGAATGAGATCATGTCCTTTGCAGGGTCAAGGATGAAGCTGGAAGCCATTATCCTCAGCAGACTAATGCAGGAACAGAAAAACAAACAATACATGTTCTCACTTATAAGTGGGAGCTGAACAATGAGAACACATGGACACAGGGAAGGGAGCAACAAACAACGGGGTCAGAGAAGAGGATGGGAGCTGGGGGAGACCATTAGGGAAAAGAGCTAATGAATGCCTGGCTTAATAAATAGGTGATGGTTGATCTGTGCAGCAGCAAACCACCATGGCACACGTTTACCTATGTAACAAACCTGCACATCCTGCACTTGTATTCCAGAACTTAAAAAATAATAATTCATAAAATGGCAGTATGATGATCATCATTGAAGGATTTCAAGAGGTCAGAAATTCACATTCACTTTTATTGAGTTTAGGATTAGAAAAGGCTCATGATTGCAATTCAACTTGTAGTTCTTCCAGTTCTTCAAAATCTTTACATCACTGAGTGACTGATTTAAACCCAAACTATTTTCTCCTGCACAATGCAGGTGCATAATTTTGCATTCAATGCACTGTAGTGTTTCTTCAGAGTCTCATGCTCTATCTGCTATTACTTTTATATTTGTTGATTGTGAGAAGACTGTGAAATATTAGGGATCTAGGTTTTAATCAAAATTTATTTTGTATTTCTCAACACCCTTAGCAAAGGTTAGAAATATGCAGATTCTCTTCATGGATTTGTCAATAGTAAACTCTGGGATTTGGAAAAATGTCCCTTTTCACATCATGCTCTCACTATCATAACTGTCTTCCTTCTCCCCACCTCTCCTGCTGAGTTCTAAATTCTTCAAAGTTATGTACTTACTATAATTTAGATCTGTATTCCCAAAGCAGAAAGCCCTGAAAATGGTATTCTGAAGGAAAAAATGGTGCTATTAGCCAGTTCAGGTCTTATGAATCAAGTCTGAAGACTCTAAATCCATTACCTGCTCTAAGTTTCATCTTTTTTTTTCCAGTGTGGTAAAAAACATAGGACATTTTCATTTTTATATCAGACTTAATGGAATGCTTGTGGAACTGTGTGTTTTTGAACAGACACGACTCAAAAAGCAGGGGCATAAAGAGAGATTCTTTGCCTCCTCTGGGGAAAAGAAATAAAGCAAACATTTTTAAAAGTTCCACTAAAAGATATGCTACTTATAGTGTCATACCACCAATGGGGCTATACACATTCTGAAAAGTAAAGAGCCCATGCTGTATCTAGATTTTCCCCGGCTGAAATGAGAGAGAAAAACCTATAAGTGAGCATTTGTGATCTTATTACCACCTCAGAAATCAACATCAACTGACCCTCAAAAGGAATAGTTTAAGCAATGAACTTTGAGAGAAGAACAGTGCACTCTGCACTGAGCAGAAGGAAGGTGTTCTTTCAGTATTCCCTGTTTATTATACTATGGGTAGAATATCTCTTTTCCAAAATGCTGGGTGCTGGGGACACAAAATATTTTGGATTTCAGACTTTTCTGAATTTTGGAATATCTACATTACACTTACTAGTTGGGCATTCCTGATCCCAAAACCTAAAATCAGAAATACTTCAATAAGCATTTCCTTTGAATATCATGTCAACACTCAAAAAGTTTTCGATTTTGTTCAACAAAATACTAGTAAACTGAATACAGCAGCACATCAAAAAGTTAACTCACCACAATCCAGTGCACTTCATTCCCATAATGCAAGATTGATTCAACATACACAAGTCAATAAATGTGATTCACCACATAAGCAGGATTTAAAACAAAAAAGCAGACACAGAAAAGCTGTTTATAGAATGCAACATCCCTTTATGATAAAAAACCCTCAACAAATTAGGCAACAAAGGGAACAGACCCCAAAATAATAAGAGACAACTATGACAAACCCATAGCCAAACATCTGAAAGATTTCCCTTTGAAAACCAGCACAAGACAAGGATGCCCTCTCTCAACACAACTATTCCACATAGTCTTGGAAGTCCTAGCCAGAGTGATCAGACAATGGAAGGAAATAAAAGGCATCCAAATAGGAAAAGAAGAAGTCAAACTGTCCTCCAATGTACAAAATTCAGTAGCACTTCTGTACACCAAAACTGTCGAAGCTGAGAGCCAAATCAAGAACTCACCTCAATTGCAGTAGCCAAAAAAGGAAAAGAAAATACCCAGGAATATTCCAAAAGATCTCTACAAGGAGAACTACAAAACACTAAAATCAGATATGACACAAACAAATGGGAAAACATTCCATGCTCACAAAGTAAAAGAATCAATACCATTAAAATGGCCATCTGCCCAAGGCAATCCACAGATTCAGTGTTATTCCTATCAAATGATCAATGCCATTTTTCACAGAGTGAAAAATAAAAACAATTCTAAAATTCATGTGGAACCAGTGAAGAGCCTGAATAGCCAAAGCCACCCTAAGCAACAAAAACAAAGCTGGAGGCATTACCTTACCTGACTTCAATCTGTACTATAAGGCTACAGTAACAAAAACAGTGTGGTCCTCGTACAAAAACAGACACATAGACTAATAGACAAAATGAAAAACTTAGAAATAAAGCTGTATGCCATCTTTTCTTTGACAATGTGGACAAAAATAAGCAATGGGGAATGGACTCCCTATTCAATAAATGGTGCTAAGACAGAATGAGAGAACATATTTACAATGTATCCAACAAAGGTCCAATATCCAGAACCTGTAAGTAACTAAACCAACTCAGCAGGAAAAAATAAGTAACCCTATTAAAAAGTAGGTGAAAGACATGAACAAACATTTCTCAAAACAAGACAAACAAGTAGCAAAAAATGTATGAAAAAATTTTCAACATCACTAATCATCAGAGAAAAACGAACCAAAATCACCATAAAGCACCATGTCACACCAATCAGAATGGCTATTAATAAAACACCCATAGTATATCATTGGTCATCATGTATAATAGTTTTTATAGTTGCTGGATTCAGTTTTTTAGAATTTTTGATAATTTTATTTGTGAATTTATTAGATATAATTTTTTAATTTCTGGGATTAATGTGCAGCATGTGCAGGTTTGTGACTTAGGTAAACGTGTACCATGGTGGTTTGCTACACAGACCAATCTATCACCTAGTTATTAAGCCAAGCATGCATTAGATATTTTTCCTAATGCTCTCCCTCCCTTCAAATCCCCCTGTCAGGCCCCAGTGTGTGTTGTTCTCCTCCATGTGTTCATGTGTTCTCATTGTTCAGCTCCCACTTATAAGTGAGGACATGCAGTGTTTGGTTTTCTGTTTCTATGCCAGTTTTCTGAGGATAATTGCTACCAGGTAATTCATGTCTCTGCAAAGGACATGATCTTATCCTTCTTTATGGTTGCATAGTATTAGATGGCATATATGTACCACATTTTCTTTATCCAGTCTATCGCTGATGGGCATTTGGGTTGATTCCAGTCTTTGCTATTGTGAAGTTCTGATATCAAGTTAATATTGGTCTCACAGAATAAGTTGAGAAGTGTTTTCTCCTTTTATTTTTTGTGTGAAAATAAAAGTCAAAAAATAACAGATGCTGGCAACACTGTGAAGAGAAAGCAATGCCTGTACAATATTGGTGGAAACCTGAATTAGTTCAGCACTGTGGGAAGTAGATTGGAGATTTTCATACCCAAAAGAATATAAATCATTCTATTACAAAGATAAATGGAAGCGTATTTTCACTGCAGCACTGTTCACAATAGCAAAGACGTGGAATCAACCTAAATGCCCATCAGTGATAGATAGGAATAAGAAAGGGTGGTATGTATACATCATGGAATACTGTGCAGCTACATCATGGAACATCATGCTGGAATACTATGCAGCCATAAAAAGAAATCAGATCATGTCCTTCCCAAGAACATGGATGGAGGTGGAAGCCATTATCCTCAACAAACTAATGCAGGAACAGAAAAGCAAACACCTCATGTTCTCACTTAAAGTGGGAACTGAACAATGAGAACACATTTACATAGCGAAGAGAACAACACATGCTAGGGCCTATGAGGGGGTCAGGGGAAGGGAGGGCATCAGGAAGAATAGCTGATGGATTCTGGGTTAATACCTAGATGATTGGTTAATCTGTACAGCAAACCACCAAGACAAACATTTACCTATGTAACAAACCTGCACATCCTACACAAGTACACCACAACTTAAAATAATTTGAAGGAAAAAAAACCTTAGACTAACAGAGGAGGAAGAAATACTTCCAAACTCATTACAAGGACAGCATTACTCTGATACCAAAACCAGACAAAGGCACATCAAAAAAAAAAAAAAAGAAAGAAAATTTCGGCCAGTATGATTGATGAATATTGATACAAATATCCATAACAAAACACTAGCAAGCCAAATTCAACAACACATTCAAAAGATCATTCATCATGACCAAGCAAGATTTATCCAAGGGATGCAAGAATTGTTCAACATATGTAAATCAATTAATGTGATACATTGTATCAACAGAAGAAAGGACAAAAAACATAAAATCATTTAAATTGATGTTGAAAAAGCATTTAATAAAATTCAAAATACCTTCATCATGAAAATCCTCAAAAAAAAACAACAGGTACTGAAAGAACATACTTCAACATAATAAAAGTCATATACTACAGATCCACAGCTAGTATTATACTGAGTGGGGAAAACTGAACGCCTCTCCTCTAAGATCAGGATGTCCACTTTCAACACTGTTATCCAACATAGTGTTGCAAGTCCTAGGCAGAGCAATTAGAAAAGATAAAGAAATAAAGGGCATCGAGATTGGAAAGGAAGAAGTCAAATTATCCTTGTTTGCAGACTATGTGACCTTATATCTGAAAAATCCTAAAGACTCCACCAAAAAACTCTTAGACCTGATAAACTAATTCAGAAACATTGCAAGATACAAAAATTAATGTGCAAAATTTAATAGTATTTCTATATGCCAATGGTAAGCAAGCTGAAAAAGAGATCAAGAAAATTATTCCATATACAATAGCTAGAATTAAAATTAAATACCTAGGAATTACATTAACCAAAGAAGTAGAAGACCCTTGCCATGAAAACTATAAAACATTAATGAAAGATATTAAAGAGGATGCAAAAAATTTTTAAAAATTGTTTATGGATTGGAAGAGTCAATATTGTTAACATGTCTCTACTGCCTAAAGCAATCTATAGATTCAATGCAGTCCTTATAAAGATACCATTGGCATTCTTCACAGAAATAATAAAATAAAAAGAAATCCTAAAATGTATATAGAACCACAAAAGATCTAAAACAGCCAAAGGTACTCTGAAGAAAAATAACAAAACTGTAAGAATCACATTACCTGACTTTAAGTTACACTGCAGAACTGTAATTATCAAAATGTCATAGTACTGGTATAAAAACAGACAAATAAATCAATGGAACAGATTACAAAACCCAGAGATAAATCCACACATCTACAGTGAACTCATTTTTGACAATGGTGAGAGGACTGTCTCTTTAATAAATGGTACTGAAAATAAACTGGATATCCACATGCAAAAGAATGAACCTAGACCCCTGACTCCTGCCATATACAAAAATCATACCAAAATGAATCAAAGACTTAAATCAAAGACCTCAAACTATGGAACTCTTACAAAAAATAGAGAAACTCTCCAGTCCTTTGGACTAAGAAAGATTTTTTGAGTAACACTCCAGAAGCATGAGTAACCAAAGCAAAAATGGACAAATGGGATTACATCAAGTTAAAAACCTTCTGCACAGCAAAGGAAACAATCAACAAAGTAAAGAAAAAACTCACAGAATGGGCAAAAAATTGCAAACAATCCATCTGGCAAGGGATTAAAAACCAGAATATATAAGGAGCTCAAACAATTCTGAAGGAGAAAATTTTAATAATCTGATTTAAAAATGGGCAGAAGATCTAAATAGACATTTCTCAAAAGAGTACATACAAACGCCAAACAGGTATATGAAAAAATGCACAACATTATTATTAGTGAAATGCAAATCAAACTTATTTGTGGAAGCTAAAATTTCAAATATTTGAACTCAATGAAACAGAGAGTTGAAGAATTATTTCCAGAGGCTGGGAAGCATAGTGTGGTGTGGGGGAATTTGGGGAATGTTAATGGGTACAGAAACAAAAGAATAATCACATTGGGTACACATAGAATACAAATGGGCTCAATGGACACTGGGGTCAATAAGAGGGAGGACGGAGGTAGAGGGTCAAGGGTTGAGAAACTAACTATTATGTACTATGCTAACAACTTGGATGAGAGGAGCAATTGTCACCAAAACCACAGCATCATGCAATATACCTAGGTCACAAACCTGCACATGTACCCCTTGATGGAAAATAAAAGTTGGAATTATATAAAAAAAAAATATCAATAGGAGACACTCTTACAATTTAATGGAACGAAGGCATTTAAACTAGCAATTATTGCAGACTTTTCAGTGTCTCTTTTTGATTAAAAAAAAGTGGGAGGTAATAGGAAAGAATGTAGATACTGGAGGATTTCAGATTTTGAAATTTTGGATGAAGAGTAACACATTTAGAACTAGACACCTTGACCAGAATGGAGCTTCAGTACTCCTCTCCAACTTCTTCAAATCCCCAACACAAACATACAGACATTTGCCCACGGACATTCATACAACCTACTTCTTTTAATGTCCTAGGAAGAGATAGAAACATCTTGTCAATGTCACTCAGTGATGAGCATCTGTGCCCTACCTCTGGAAGCTCAAATGAAAATTGGACCTAAGAAGAGAAAGTCTGTGGACCTTTTGTGATGTAGAATCTTACACCAGAAAAACTGCAACAAATACAGCAACATAAATGACAAAAACAAAAACTATTGGCACCTGCAACCGTTTAAACTGTGCTGAGGAATCATGACAGTGTCTTCCCCTCCACATCTCCCTGTCATCTTACCCTTTGATTGGAGAGCGCTCTGGAGGAATCCCTTTACTCCCTGGAATGCTTTCCTTCAACTGCTTAAGATTGCCTTAACAATTAATTTTTACTGAGGGTGACAATTTACTTCTGCTTTTTGATATTCTCTGCGCAAAGACTGATCACAGATGTAGTCTTAGGTTGTAGTAGAATATGCACAATAGTACAGAAAAGACGTGCCCAGACAAACAGTTAATAAAAGGCCACACAAAAAAAGGGATTGTAATGTGCTCAACTACGAAGGTTTTTAAAAGGTCAGATATTCACTTTGAATTAATAGGATAAAGATTAGAAAAGGTTCATATTTGCAGGTGAAAGGGTAGTTCTTCCAATCCTCCCTAAATCTTAACATCCCTGAGTGAGTGATTTCAGCCCTAACTCATTTTCTTTGCGCCATGCAGGGACTTCACTGTGCACACCATGCATCCTAGAGTTTCTTCAGGGTGTCATGCACCATCTGCCAAGCGCTTCATTTTTGATGTATGTCTTACCTTTTCAAGAAGTCTGTGAACTACTGAAGGTCTACAGTTAATTCAAAATTTACTTTCTCTCTCTTAAATACCTTAACAAAGGGTAGAAATATGCAGGTTCTGTTGATGGATTTTTGGTAGTAAACTGGGATTTGGGAAAAGTCCCTTATCCCACTGCAGTGTCACTGTCATAACTATTCGTCTTCTTTCCATCTCTCCTGCAGAGCTCTAAATTTTTTGAAGTCGGGTACCTGTGGTAATTTGTATCTGCATCCCTAATTTGTAATTTGTGTCTTCAATCCAGCAGCAAATGGTATTTTGAATGAAAAAATGGTGCCAATAGCCAGTTCAGGTCTTACGGATTAAGTCTAACATTCTAAATTCAGTACTCCCTCTGATTTCCAACCACTGTTGCTCCAATGTGGAAGAAAACTGAGGACATGTTTTTACTTTTATATCAGATTTATTAAAATGTTCAGAAGTCTATTATTAAACAGATATAATTCCAAAAACCATTACAGAATGAAGAAACTCTAGGTTTCCTATGGGGAAAAAAAACAAGCATAAAAGAGAATTTTGCTAAAAGAAATGTAAGTTATAAAGTTATACCACCAATGGGAACATATGCAACCTTAAAAGGAAAGGCCACATGCTATTTTAAAATGTTACCCTGCTGAGGTGAAGGGGAGAAACATCTAAGAGTCAGCCTTCATAGACTTATGGCCACTTCTAGGTCAATATCAGCTGACCCTCAGAAAGGGTCTAAAAGAAAAAAAGAAAAACTTTGGAAGAAGAGCAGCATGCTCTGCAGAGACCAGAAGAAAGGCATTACTTCAGTATTTTCTGTATATTATGCCACGGCTTGATTATCCCTTATCCAAAATTCATGCTACCTGAAGTATTTTGAAATTCAGATATTTTTGTATATTGGAATATCTACATTATACTTACTGGTTTAGCATCCTTATTCCAAAAACCTAAAATTTGAAATGCTTCAATAAGCATTTCCTTTGAATATCATGTGGGCGCTCACACAGTTTTGGATTTTAGAGCATTTCAAAATTTAAATTTTTGGATTAAAAATTCTCAATCGGTAGACTTCGAGTCCTTGACTAAAATGGACTTTCAGTACACTTTACTCAACCTTCCCACACTCCTGACCACACACACATACCGGCCCTCAGACATTCATACAGCTTCCTTATTTTAATGTACTGGGAAGAGATAGAAACGTCTTGTCGAAGTAACTCTTTCAGTGCTGGGCATCTGTGCTTTATCATCTGGCTGCTCAAATGAAAGTTGAACCTGAAAGAGAAAAGAAAGTCTGGAGACCTGTTTTTCTGAAAAGATTATTAACTCATGCCAAAAAGGCTAAAACAAATCTAGCAAAGTAAGTGATGAAAACAAAAAGTACTTGTATCTACAACAAGTACAGCCATGTGCTTATCTAAGCATTGAATCACTCTCCTCAGGGCGTTTTAAATCTGTGGTTGGATCTAATGTCCATGAGGGACACAGGGAAATTAGAGTCCATTCATGTGTCTCTGCAGGGCAGGAGGTGGGTGAAACTAAATGATTATTTTATTGAGGCTGTTGGTCTTAACAGATTGGATCTGGCTCCCAGGCTTGTTCACTCTCCAAAGAACTTCAAAACTTTTTTGGAAGGAAGGGTGTTATTGGAAGATAAACATGTCTGGATCTGCTTTCTATGCTTCCAATTGCAATAGCCAAGCATTCGGGGAAGCAGAGTGAAAATAGCATCCACTAGAGCCCTATCTTGTGGAAAATTTCCTCCACATCACAGGAACAGGAATATTCTTGCAGTTGTTCAATGACTCATAACAAAAAGAGCCCTTTGCAGGATGTCTCCAGCAAACATTATCTATTGATAAAGCTTTAAATCTCAAGATTGACTCTTGCCCGAAGAAAGAGAAGAAACTCTAGTATTTCTGCTCCAGCTGAGGCATATTTTGGAGTTCATCTATTTTCCATACACTTCACTGTATTTTTTAGTGAATACATTTGAAGTTCAGTGAGTATATTTTTACTGATACTCTAAATGGTGCTGTATATGGTGCAGGTACTAACGTTGCATAGTCCCAGAGTTACAGTCGTAAATTTAGTAGAGAGTTAGGAAAAGGCAGAATGTGGTAAAGGGAAGGAATTGGGATTTGAAAAAGAAATATCTAAATGTGCATCCCCAAAGTGCTGTTACTGACTGTGATTTAAGTTAATTGTCCATGCTGATATGCAATAGACTCAGCTATACAGGGAATGGTAACAATTTCATACACAGGAGATATCTGAGTCTACACTAGTGTCTGAGCTAACAAAGGGTATGTAATACTCAGTCTATACAGGGTAATTATGTTAATAAATTCTCAATGTATGTACTTCACATAAAATTTTAATGAAAATTTAATAACATTGACTGTAAGATATTTCCACACGAAGAGTTAACCATAAAAATCATAAAACAGAACAAAAGTAGAAATCTAGGAAAAGTCAATAAAAGGATGTTGACATCATAATGGACAATAAGAAGTTCTTATGGAAGAGAAAAATATTAAAGAAAACAATATTTATTACATGGTAGACACGGAAGTAATGAAGACATGTGAAAATTATACAAAGGGAGGCATAAGAGAAAAGCAGTAGCAATAGCTCTGTGTATAATCACAGACTTCTTTAATGACACATTTCAGCCAATTATAATGGTCATAAAGTGTATATTAATAATAAAATTCTATTTAGAACCACAGCTATCTTAGTTGAAGGAAGTAGGTAAGAGATAAGGTGGAAACAGGTGTTTCTGCAAATGTTTTGTGAAATTAAGGAAGTAGATAGTTACTTTTCCTCAGGAGAGCACTATGAAATAGTTGGGATTTGCACAGCAGAATGTGGAGCTAGGCTTAATATGGGAGTTATAAATAACTAAATGGAGTTTCTGACAGTCATATGGAAAGGAGGAGTAAGGAAAATGAAAGAAAAGAAAAACACGGAAATCAGCAGGATTGGTGATGAGAAGCCGGGGGCCTACAAAATGCTATATAGAGGGCCATGAATGTCATGTGGAAGGCTGGGATCAAAGGATATTAAAGAACAGTTCTGTCTAATGTTATAGTCTACTCTATGTACTCAGGCTGGAAATGTATTTTTTTGTGTGTTTATCTTGTCATTGGTTTTGATCATTGAAAAAATATTGAGTTCTGCATCAGGGCATGTTCAAGACAATATAGAACCAAACTTCTTCTGAAAGAAGATATCTCATTGTACAAATTATTTCAGAAAATTTAACTACTTGAGCAGAGGCAGGGCCTTTGAGCCAGAGGTGACCAAGACAATGCGAGTCCTCTCAGGAAACTGCCATACAAGGTGGATAAAAGCATTCAAGTCATTTTTATTTAAACCTTGCTAAGAAAAGTAACTGAATGAAGTTATAAAATAAAAACATTTTAAATAATACCAGTTCTTTAATGTGTACTTCTTTCTGTCATGTGCAATATTTCACATATATTAATTTCTTTAATCCTTAAAAAATGATATTTATATTCATATATATTAGTGAGTAATTCAAGGAAAGTACAGGGAGGAACTAGTGGAGCTAGTTTACAAAGTACTAAATGACTAGATCTGTCAATAATAGCAAGATTCTTACTGCAAAGCATACATTTAGAATAATGCGTATATATTCTGCTTTATATACTTGCTTCTAGGTAAAACCCACTTTAATTTAGGGGCCCAAAGTTCCTCGCTTGCTGTTCTACTTTTCTGAACCCTGCTTCTACTCTTCTCCTATGAATACTTGATGTTAGGCCCAATTGGTCCATTGAATGATCTCAACATGGAGGACCTTTTCTATGTAGAGTCAGACTCTAATGTTCTACAGCAGAGATCGTCTTCCATTTCATTCTCTGTTATCTCTCACAGTTCTAAAATATTTTGCAACAGAGAGGAGTTCATTAATTACTAAATCAGTGAAAAGAAGTGCTTACTTGCTCTTTGAGGATAAAGGGAATCCTGTGTATAACTTGGAACAAAGCTTTAGTTTGTGTTCAAAAATCTTATCTAAAGTTCTGCACAGGTATCTACCCTCTAGTGGGTGGCTGTGAGTTTTTCTATTGATAACACCCACAAAGATGTTCTGTGTACAAGAAACCTGTTACCTAATGTGGAAGAGCAGAAAGCAATAAAATCCTTCTCTATGTGTACTTGATTAATAGCATCATCCTCAAAATCTCCCGGAGTTGGTAAAGATATATTTTCAGAGGCCGGTACTGAATCTTTTACCAACACCACACCATGGTTCTCTGGAAAGACAAAATTTGGTTTGTTACTACTACCAATGGCTGAGAGGACAACGTTCTCCTCTTAGCGTCTGTTCAATCATATTTATCAATATATTTGCTCTATCATTAATTCACATGCACATACACACATACATTCAAGTAACATTCTTTCAACAATTCTTATTTCTTCTAACTCTCAAACTAATTTTAAAAACCACCAAACATCAAAGTCTCAGACTTGAATATAAAACAAATATCTACCAACCAGTCATACAATTCACAGAAGCCACATCTTGAGTGCTGACAGTGTATGTTCTTTGACACTAAAAAACAGACATAAACTGAAAATTCATGATGAATACAGATGAGGACAGTATTTGAATGTCTGGTGTTCTCAAAGACATTAGCCTCACCAACATGGCAGGCCTGGATGATTATCACCTTGGGTTTGTCCTTCAAACTTGGGCAGTTCTTGCTATTCAACGTTTTAAAGATTTCATTGAGTTGTAATACATCTGGGACTTGCTCAGAGTATTTCTTCCCACAAATGCCTTCCCGAATACCATGAGACCAGAGGCCTTGTGCTCTTGGTGCAGAGAAAATACCTCCAACTCTGTAGTCATTTCCTGAAAGAGACCATACTGCTGATTTTGGACTATGTGATTAACCCTCATGGCACCTTGGAAAGCCAATAAATAAGTACTTAAGGATTTCTTAAGTAATTTCATGACAAACAATGGAGGGCCAAAAAACCTTTTAGTCTTAATTTCGAGAAAGGTGAAGGAAGGTGTTGTAGGAAGTCATTCAGAGTTATCTGGTAAAGAGAACGTGGCATTACTGAGAAAAAAAAAAAAAAAACCTTCACATTTAAGTTAAACCAGACTCATGCTGAATGACTCTGATGTTTCAGGGGAATATGTAGCATCCAGCATCCTTCCATGGCAAGTTTATATTTTAGATTATCAACAGATTACAATTCTTGGTCCTACAACCAAGCTTTCTAATATTATTTAGTTACACAAAGGGCATGACCGTTGTCTCTATGGTATAATAGACCTTACCGAAGCAGTGAGATTTCTTTTCTCATCCACCTTGTACCCCAGATTTTGTAGCAGCATCATCATGCCTATGACATCAACCTCAGCTCCCACTCTTTTAGAAAGACTGTCAAACTCTTTGTTAAAGATAATGAGAGCAAGCATGATGTGTGCAGCTTGACTTGCCCATTATTGGATAAATCTGTAGGAAATGCAGTTTGGATGAATAGTCTTATTCTCTGTAATTTAATATTCACCTGGTTAATTTATGACCATTTTCCCTTTCTTAGTCCTATCAAGGTACCAAATCCCTTGGACTACACATTGAAAATGGGGAACGGAATTCAGTGCTACTTCGAGAGTAGGCATAGAAACTGCAAAGGCCCAGATGGCAGGTTAGCTACTGACTTCATTTTTCTTGATACGTAGGATTTTGAAAAATGCACAAGCTTTGAAGCCAGAATGCCTGAATTCTAAAACTGATTGCTCTAATTTTTTATTGTTTTTCTTTGGGCAGAATATTTAACAACCCCATGTCTCAGCTTCTAGATCTCTAAAATGGATTATTTTTAAGGTTAAAAATTATGTATTATCATGTACAAAATGCTTAGAACAGTGCCCACTCTTAGTGAACATTCAATAGCTGCCATTGTTGATGTTATTTATCCAGGAATTGGGTGCAATTAGGAACTGTTTCTATAAACCTGGGATCCTAGGATGCAGGATTTTTTTTTTTTTTTTAGGTAAAGGAAGCAGAAGTAAGATTCTCCGTTGAGAACAGCTCTAAGAAAAAGCCACTGCATTTCAGAATTGCCTCAAATGTATCTTTCACCCCACTCTAACCTTGTGTTCTGAGCATGGCACCTCTGTCAACTTTTCTTTCCATATCCTTTTAGCTTCGTCTAGGGAGCAAAGCTTGATGCTTCCTCCTGAGCCTGAGGATGTAGGCATAGCAGGGCTGTCCCACACTGCCACAGCCTGAGGAGTCGCAAGAGTCAAAGAATATCATGAACATTGGCATCCCTCTTTGTTCCGCTTTGTGTTTCTTACAGCCTCACCTAAGGATGAAGCCACAAAAGTGGAAATGCATTCTTAGGAAGACAATCCTGATCTTTCACCGCTGAATAATTTCACTGCTAATGGAGTACATTTCCAGCCAGAGATTTCCAGGTGTGCAATACAGGGATCTCCTTTCATATTTCAGGATCAGTATTTTTACAAGTATTTTAGATAAAAATGTAGAAAGGAAGCTTTTCAAGGCCATGCATGAAAAAATGCTCAGAAAACAATCAAATGTGTGAGATAAAATAGAACATAAATTTATTTCAAAAGATTTGAACCATAGAATAAAATTTAATGGGAGGAGGTCTTAACAAAATCTACCAAAAATCTTTAAGAAATATGTTTATCTCTTTATTTATTTACTGAATAGACATGGTAGTAAGCACTAGGAATACTTTTTTAATGAACTTTGGCCTGTCCTTCAGGATCTCTTCCTACTATGTATACATATGGAAGAAGGAGATTATTAAATATATGAACTAGAATGATAAATGCTAAAATCAAAGTGCACACTAGATGGATTTATAGCACTTAACATTGACTGCACAGACATATGAGGAAATGTTTTCACAGAGTTTATGTGAAAAAATCCTTGCAGCTTTTATTTCATCACCAGTACAACACCATCCGACAATGTGATATAGTTGTTAAAAAACTTAATGTAATCTTTGTTTCAAGATAGAAATTAGTTTTCTAGATTTGTGGAGTATCTTTTAGAAACTATTATGTCAAGGAAATAATATTTAATTTTGAAAACAAGTTTGAGAAACTGTTATACAATTAGTTAGATAAATAAAGGCAGCATGAATTGTGTTGACTTGGGGAAGAACTAATTGGAATGGATATATTGGAGAAAACTAAAAATTAGTAATTTGATAGAAGAAATGTTTGGTTTCTTCAGAAAGAAGAATGAAAACGACATAAAAAAACTAAATAGAGGTATATGAGTTATGTTTGAGGTAATTTTTCTTAGTGAAAATGCAGTATTTGGTTATATAGTGAGTGTCCCATGCTGTAAAACATTTAAGAAAATATTCATGAGTTAATCAACCTTAATAAATTCAATAGAGTAAAAACTGAAGTTGATAGAAAAATTTACACTTCTTGCCTCTAAATTGCTTTTAAATATAAGTTTCTTTTATTTTAAGAGGGCCCTTGATGAATAGGGGTTTTTAATGAAATAGAAGAAGAAATAGCGAGACAGTTCCAAATTTGAGAGAAGAATGCATAAAACTTGGCGGTGGCTTGAATATTGGAGATGCGTGAGAGGAAAGGGGCCAAGATGTGTTTCAAGTTCCTGGTTTGAACAACTGGTGATGGTGACATCAATAACCGAGTTACACAAAACTGGAAGAGAAGCAGGGTGGGGAAGAATGGCATGTTCAGCTCTGATATTGTTTAGATAAAGGTGTCTCTAGGAGACGTGAGGGAATATTTCAGTAGGCTTAAATGATGAAGTTTGGTACTTATTTGGGTAATCAGGATTTGAGATACTGATTCCAAATTTTAATGTAAACATAGATAGTGAAGCTGTTTTGACAGTTGCTACAAAAGCAGAATAGATTACAAAAAGAAAATTGTATGATCACTCTATGGGAATTCTTCATAGCCCCTTTAACTGTGGTTCATCCTACAACATTAATGTCACGGGAAGCCACGGTTCAAAGAATGCTCTTTCTTTAAAAACAGCATTACCTAGGAAGGAAGTACTATTTGAGAATCTTGTGTAGTAAGGTGATTTCCAGATGTTGGACCTAGAGAAAGAAGAAGGACATTGAAATAGTCACTTATCATCTCTGGAAAACTTTACCCTAATGCTTACAACACTCCCCACTAAAGATTCCTCCCACAACCCTGACTGAACGACATTAAATAACGTTCAAAATGTTCTTTAATTTAGAGAGTCGTGGGGGTATAAAATGAAAGAGACATTGTCAGAAAAATATGACATTTATTACACATAGATGAAAACATAAACTTCTCCCATGTCTGCTTAGACAGGCGTAAGCTTCCTCTAACCCTTAGAAAACAAAACAAAACAAAAAAAGCCTTTTACTTTGAAAGAACATCTGCCTCTGAAGTGGCATTGGAAAGTACCACAGAGACCAGTAACTAGGAGTCCACCAGAACTCTCATCCTCACCATGTGGTAGGTCCAAGGGATCACAGGAATGGGCCAACTCATTTCCTGTGCACTGTATCAGGTCACAAGGTGGCCACAAATGGAGGCAGTCCAGGGCTCACAGCATGATCCACAGCCTGATAACAGGCAAGTGGGTGATCTTACTCAAAAGAAAATGCAAGGAGGCAACGGGAGGAAAAAGCCAACTTGAAATCCTTACTTTTCTATAATCATTCAGTGTATTCTCTGAGTATATCACCACTTTTGAAATATAACTTATTCTTCTTGGAGGGCAATATTTTGGAGAGAAGTTATAAAACGTATTTAATTACAGACCTTAAACCTTCATGACAGACAACTACATAAGTGCCTGGGTACACCCTGGACTCAAAAATACTAAATCAATCAATAAATATTGTGCCTCGCCTGGAACAGTGGAACATATAGTGTGAAGCTTTTTAGATAGTTCTCATAACCTTCAGGAAATCAGCTACCGCTTACTCAGAACAGGAAATGTGCTTTAATCAGAAGAGGGCCACTGAGGATGAGTAAACAGAAACGAAGGAGAGTCAAGGGACATGCAGTAGGGCCCGTGTTACAGAAATATTGCCTGAAGCCAGAGAGAAGGAAGTTTTCTGCAACTTAACATGACTAGTAAAGACATCACATGGTAGTCACAATGACAGGCCCTAGGCGAACTTGAGTATGAGTCACTGACCCTTACCTGCTGAGAGTCCCAGCGTCCCTGCCAGGTGACTGTCTTCTTCACAAATGTATGTGATGCAAATTTGGCATGCTGGAGCCCCTTTCCGAATAACAGAGTCAAGCAAAGCTCGGGCCTTATCCATAACTGTAGCATTTTCACATTTTACTATCTCTATCTCTTCCTGGCTCAGCACCCTTGTCTCCAATAATTCACCCAGTAAGCCATTTATTGTACCTTCGCCCACTGAACGGATAAACTGCTTTCTCTTCTCCTTCAGGACCTTGTCTGTTTGGAGCACAAGGATTTCTCACATCATGAAAACAGCCTCATATTCCTCTCATGTCATCACCAGAAGGCAACCTCATTTAGATTTCATCAGTGAAATGTCCCCCTCCTCACAGTTGGGTAATCCCTCTTCTTACTTTATCGCTGTACTACTTGTTTCCCTCAATAGTCTCCATACATGTGCATGGAGTGGCCTGAAGACTCAGTTTACCATTTCCACATTAGTCCCTGGAAAGCAGAAATCATCCTCTTATGTCACATGATTATTTAACTCTGAATAATAAAGTAATGAAACAGAAATAGCCCATTTCATTTAGGAACCACTGCTGCTAGTACTCCTCCTGTGCCAATTCTGTAGCCTCTGCCACACTTACAACATGTAAGAGTTTAAATAAGATTGCAAAATGACAGCAAGCTACTCCTAAAGCCTCAGTTCCTTTCTGGGCTTTCCTTTCCTTTCTAAAGGCTGCAAGAGTCATCTAATTTCTTCTCTCCTCACTCTCCTCCCTGTCCCTCACTTTTGCTCACATAAACCTCCACAGATACTGATGATAGCTTCCAGAAGAGCAAGCGCCTTCCACAACTTTTTCCTCCCAGGGGCCTGTTTTTGGGACAGTAAAAGACTCACCGGCCATGGCTTTTCTCTCCTCCCTTCTTGTGTAAGCTGAAACTGAAAGCATGCACCACCTTTCTTTTTACCTTCCTTTTATACATTTTGGCAGGGCATGTACACATATTGGGAAACCACTGCACATGCATATGCATGTCTTTTTTTATTTTTTCATTTTTTTAATAGAGTAAGATTCAGATTCCTGAACTGTAGGCTGCAACAGAGAGTGTATCTTTGGGAAATTTTCTTCACCAGCCCTTTGAACAAGTCAGGGTAGGAGGGGAATGGGGCTTGGAGAATAAGACAAGAATGACAAAGTATGTGTACAATTAAACTCATAGTGAAGAATTTCTCATTCGTTAGAAAGCTTGATGGAGAAAAGTAACACAACCTTTAGAGAATTTGAACCACTGCTCTCCTGGGCCCATTTCACAGTCTAGGGAAAGTCATGGGAAATGTATGTCCCTGTGAAACAATTTTACTTCAAGAAATGAACACATTTTTCACAAAAATTAAAGCTTTTCCTATTTAATGTCCTTCCTTTTCAGATTTTTTTTTCTGATACAGAATTTTATTCTGTCACACAGGCTGGAGTGCAGTGGCACTAACAGGGCTCACAGCAGCCTCCACCTCCCTAGGCTCAGATGATCCTCTCAGCTCTGCCTCCCAAGTAGCTGGGAACACAAGCACATGCTACCACGGCTGGATAATATTTTTATGTTTGTAAAGACAAGGTCTCCCTATGTTTCCTAGGCTGTTTTTGATATTCTGCACTCAAGCAATTCACTCACGTTGGCCTCCCAAACTGCTGGGATTACAGCTGTGAGCCACCCACCCATCCTGGATGGCTTTCTTTTGAGGAACATTACCTCATAGAGGCCTGGAGCACAGGCTCTGGACTCAGAATGTTGAACTTAGCATCTTAAACTTCATTTCTTGGGCAAGAAATTGAACTTCCCTATGCATTAGTTCCTCTGCCTGTGAAATAATTTTAATAATAGTACATACCTACACATTGAGCATTAAGTGAGACAAAATGTACAAAATGCATGCAACATTGCCTGGCAAATGGTAAGCAGATAATGAGTGATATTACTATAATTAATACAAATATTTTACATTAGAAAAATCAAGGATAATTATTTGCAGATTATCCAGCTAAGTTTATCTTTCGTTAGACTCTTCAAGCAGTGCATCTAGTCATTCACTCAACAAATATATATGGACGATATGGTTCTAGGAGCCAGGGGTTCAGTCAAAACATATCATGGTCATTTCCCCCTTGCTCTCACATACAAGAGGGGAAGACAAACATGAAGCCTGGTATGTAGTATGTAACTGGAATATTCAGAATGTGCAAATATGGCAAGTGATGAGAAGAATAAGAAATTAGTTGGAGAAATGGGAGACAAAATATTTTAGGACTCATGAAAACTGTAGAATGAGAAGCCAGAGAAGGCCAGAAGAGGTCTCTGTCTTTGCAAGCACATGTTCAATTGATAATTCCAGAAATAAACTCAATGCGGCCAATTTATTTTATGAACCTCTTTGATGCAAGTTGGACTAATAAAAAAAATGCAGACAGTACTTCACATTTATCAATTTCTTTAAAAAAAACTTTCTTGTGTCATTACCTTGTTATCTTTGGAGAATAAGGACCAGGAGTCACAAAAACATCCACCTTTTGACATGTGGGCCACCAATGTTACTTCCTGTGCTCTAAGCGATGAGTTAAACGTGTTTAGGTTAGACTAGAATGCACTGTGTAGAAGGAAAATAATGTGGCTTTTAACCTAAGGGCTTTCTCATGATTTTTTTTTATCTTTACTTTGTCAATGACCTAGTCAGATTGCAGCAAAATCTTGAGCTCCTTGACAGTGGGAGGATTTGGAGCATGGAAGAAAGCAGAAATTACCTGTGCATCACTTCTCTTCCATTCATTTACTTTTACATTTATGTACTGATTCTTTTATTTTCTCTATTAACTTAAGGATTTCACACATAGTTTTCTCCCCCAGGCAGAGCCATGAATCAGTGAGTTCATGGCTTGTACAAAGTATGACAAAATGGCACCCAGGACACAGAAGCCATGACTAGACCATATATATAGGGATGTAGAACCATGAGCCATGAGTCTTTTGTCCTGGGAAGCTAAGCATTGAGCCACTAGATTACAAGTGCCCACTGTTTCCTCAAAAATGAAGATGTCATAAACTGGCAACAACTCAATATCCAATTCAGGAGCATAAATAAACAATTTGTGCTATACACATACACTGAAATGCTATTCAGTCATAAAAAGGAAATATTACCAAAATATGCAATAACATGGATAAAAATATTATGTTTTAAATATGAGTGAAAGAAGCCATGTAGGAAGGAACACATACCCTGTGATTCCAATTATATAAAGTTCTAAATTAGAAAACAACTAACGTATAGTGAAATAAATTCAATCACAACTTATCTGAGGAGGAAGTGGAAGGAGATTAAGAAGAAAGGGTATGACAAAACTTTCTGCAGTGACATAATTGGTTTGCCTATTCATTAGGAAGTTATTATACTAAATATCCTCTAATCATTAATAACCAACTTGCATTCTTAAAAGGGGTATGTTTTCTTTTATGTAAATTATACTGAAATAACGTTAAAATTTTGAAATGAAAAAGGTCAGTGGTAGTAATAATAGACTGCTCAGCAGGCTGGCCAATTATAAACTTTGCCATGGGTCCCTGAAACCAATACTCTATGAAATTCCTCTGTCTTGTTTGGTCTCCTTAAGAGCTTAATCTTGTGACCATATGTGGATACTTTCTATTGGTTTACACCATCCAGCCCTAAAATTTTTTCTTGAGCAGTTAAAAGCCTTGGCACGGTTAACATTGGCTTCTCTAGGCTCCTTCTGGGACTAGCACTAGAAACTGCTCAATGCTGTAATTCAGTAGGTAAGACTTTGCCTTTTGACAATAGTGGCCTAGGCTCTATTCTTGGCTTCTGGAATGATTTCTTTCTGGTTTGCTATTTGCATAACTTTGCCATTTAATGAGGTTCCCCCACAACCCCACGGATAGCTTCTGACTTCCTCTCTTGAATTTTCCTTGCTCTGAACTACCTTGGGGAAATTCTAAATCTTGTAAAAAGAAACTGCTTACCATGTCTTTGAAGTGCATGGGAGGTTACTTTTGGTAAAGTTCAAAAGCCAGAAATATTGGCTGCTTGGCTAAAGTTGAGTAATAAGAAATTTAAAATGATTTTTTAAAGAGCACTATGGTTAAAATTCAGCTTAATTAAAAGTGAATAAACAAACTATGGATACACTTAAAAGGCCTTCATGTTTTTCTCTTCTTGGATCTCGTTTTTCTGTAAAAGGTTTTTTTCTTCTTAGTCAAGTGAATTATTTTTCTCCATTTTTGTCTTGCCACTCTTAATGCACACATGAGAGGCCCTAAGATAACTTCTGGTAGCCTGGGACTCCTTGGGAAAAACAGAGGAGGAACCATAGACCTTGTTTTGGAAAACAAACAAACAACAAAAAACAAACAAAAAAAACCCCCCTCTGTTTTCTTCCTTAAACCCCAGGAATTCAATGTACATAGATCCCTCTCAAAATCAAAGGCTCTGTTCTGTTTTGCACTGTGTTATCTGACAGTTTGAGTTTTGGGGGTATCAGAAATTACTTTGTATTATGAAAGAGCTTTGATATGTACTAACTAGGCTGGAAATATATATAATGGATGGCTAAGAGTATTTTTGGAGGGATACTTGGCTCTTTGCACACTTGGATTAGAGAAACATGCTCTTGGAAACCTGGAAGATATGGAAATATCCTCACCTCTGACTGAGAGATGAGACTCCCATGGGCTTGGGCTGATTTCAAAATGGGCTGATTGGTTTTAGGTTGCCTTGCAACAAAATGCAGGGTAGAAGCACTTCACTGTCTTCTCCGGTAGTACTTCCATCCTTTTGGGGATCCCAAATCCAGTATAAAATGGCACCCTTAATTTTGGAGATCTGTCTTTCCCTTCACCTGTGGCTGTGTATTTACTTGGAAAAAAATGCATGCTTTCCTGACCCTGTTTCTCCAAGGGATCCACCCTGAAGCTGGTAATCCAATTAAAAATCTGGCAAATAAAAAATCTTACAAGTGCTGAATCTTCTGTCTGTGTATTTATATAAACTTCTATAATTCTGATATTATTTAGTGTATATTATTAGTAATTATCATTGTTATGTAAAATTGATGGATGCCACAGAAGTAAGCAAAATTTCTAGTCAATTGTAACTTTAATAGTGTCTATAGGCATTTGTCATCCACAGATATTTTATCCTGCTTTGGTCCTTTTGAAAAGGCAGTTTATAATCAGATATAAGACTCTGAGTGCAGGTATCAGATAACTTTAAAAATTGTCCTATTGGAATAGAAGAAAAAATGAAACTTCTAGGACTCTCAGGGAGAGCGCATGTGTTAAACATCACTAATCCTTTTGTTTTCAGAGTTAAGATAACTTATTTCTTTAGAGCTATTTGCAACTTTTAACAAGTGAGTAAAATATGCTCCTGTGAAAAAATTTTGAACCATGTTTGTTTCTCTCTACCTGATTTCTCCAGAATTTGGAAGCTATTTGTAAGTATTCACAATTTATGGCAGAATAGTTAATTGCATAAGTACAATAAGAATCTGTTTTCTTTTTTAACAGGACACAATTGGAGAAATTGGTTATTTTACCAAGAATTTGACTGGAATGGCATGCTTCCTTTAAAGAATCAAAGTTGACTTATAGAGACAATAAAACCCCTTGGGGAATCTGGCTTCATACCTTGTCTACACAGAGTCCTTGTACAAGTTTCTTGATCTCTGGTAAGTAAGAATATCACTGTCTAACAGGTTCAGGAGCTCCAGTTTATCTTGGAACCTTGAGAGGAGAGGAATTTATCCAACTCATAGGTATTTGAGGGTACAAATGCATGGCTGGGCTCGGCTCTTGAAAAGTCTTATCTGAGATTCCTCATGGAACAGAGTTGCATCAAAGCCAATTTAAACAAAAAACAGCCTAACTGAAAAATAATTATTCTTGTTGCACCTTATGCAAATAATCAGGTCAAGTACAAAAAGACTAAAGCTTATTTTTGTAAACAAATTATTTCTGTCATAATTTGTTCTTAATAAAAATGAGTCTGGAAAGAGAAAAATTATCCTTCAAAAGAAAACATATAATATACCTGTTGTTAGTTGTCCTTGAGTTTTTTTTTTTTTCCTGCAGTTTGGAATAAATCCTAAATTCTTTGTAGATTAGAAGTCCCCAAACTAGTGCTTTCAAATCTTTGCTTTTAAAATTGGGAATTTTACTCCTCATCCTAGGATTTGTTATTTACCTTACAGGAGGCTGTTCACATAAATACTGTAGTAAAACTACAGAGAAGAGTAGTAATGTTTTTGCATTGCAAGCATTGGAAGCCCAGTCAGGCCTGCATGAGTATGCTCAGACAGTTGCAAAGTGGTTCCAATCTTCTCAACTTGGGGTTCACTCCAATTTCCACTATGTCCCAACAGCAGGTAGAAGCCAGTGTGATCAATGGTGTTTTCCCATCTTCGCAGCCTACATCTTAAGACTAAGCTGTTATAAAACCCAAAGGAATGGATTGACACTACCTTTACAATATTGCAACTGAGGAAATTATGACAGTGAAAGAAATCAGACCTAACCAACTCCATCTTGCTTCTAACACTTAAGCTGTCCTTCTTCATTCCTGGGCATAGGCTGAACTAACTTTGGGAAAGAATTCAGTTCATGGTTTGACTCTGAAACAAAATTGATTACAGCCCTTTCCCGAAAAGACCCCTTCTTGCCTGGGATCCAGTCTGCCTTTGCAGGACTAACAAATTAGCTACAAGATTAAAAATTACAATTTAAGTGTCATGCAACCTCTGGCTCCTAGAGTCTGAACGTCCCCAACATGCTCCGGGGATAATATCACTATTGTGAAACCTAAGATCAGCACTTAAGATATTTTTCAGACACTGCACTCAGTGGATCAGCTGACACTACCCAGACCCGTAATCTAACCCAACCAGGCTGCCATCGCACCCAGGAAGAGAAGACAGCAAGAAAACCTCACTTTGACACCCTATGATTCCATCTCCCACCTAACTAATCAGCACTCCCTACTTCCTAAGCCCCTACCGGCCAAATTATCTTTAAACATTCTGATTTCTGAATGCTCGGGGAGACTGATTTAAGTAATAACAAAACTCTCATCACCCACACAGCCGGCTGTGAGTCAATTACTGTTTCCTGATTGCAATTCCCCTACCCTGATAAATCAGCTCTGTCTAAGCAGTGGACAAGGTGAACCCATTGGATGGCAACAAATCCTTAATAGCAAACCAGGTAAGTTTGATTTCATTAACAGACGTTAAGTACACAGTGGGTTTCAAGCAGAAAGAAGCCATGTTCATTCCCCTATCCATTCAGGAATATATATATTTTTTGAGATGGAGTTTCGCTCTTGTTATCCAGGCTGGAGCGCAATGGTGCCATCTCGGCTCACTGCAACCTCCACCTCCCAGGTTCAAGGAATTCTCCTGGCTCAGCCTCTCGAGTAGCTGGGATTACAGGCATGCGCCACCATGCCTGGCTAATTTTTTTGTATTTTTAGTAGAGACAGGGTTTTACCATGTTGGCCAGGCTAGTCTCGAATGACTGACCTCAGGTGATCTGCCCACCATGCCCTCCCAAACTGCTGTGATTACAGGCATGAGCCATTGCGCCTGGCCCCTTTCAGGAATATTTAATGATCATTAATTCTTAACTTATTCTCCTAGTGTTGGGGGTACCATTTTGGAAACATGTTCGTACACTTTAAAGCTTGCAATCAAGTGGATAGATATGCAAATAAGTAAAATGAAACATAAGAATGTAAATAATGAGATGCTTAAGAAAACCATAAGTAAACAATGTCTCAGGTGGAAGATAGCTCTCCAGAGAAGAGAGGGCTTGGCACTGAATCTGGAAGGACTAGTAGGAATTTATCCCTTGGACAACTGGGGGTTGGTCTCCTGGCAGAGAGCAGTGTGGGAAGAAGCACAAAGGCTTGAGAGCGTCTCATGTAACCACAAAACTGGGAGAGCTGGGCTTTAGAAGGAATAGAAATGTGAAGCCAAGACTGAAGTGGGAGTGATCAGACTCAGGGCAAGTATTTGAAGATGTTTGCAGAAAGGTAGATTAATGGCAGAGTTTGAGAAGCATGCCAACCTGAAATCACTCCTCTCAACAGACTTTTGACCTAAAGCATATTTTGAAGGCATTCTCTAAGTTTCCCCTTCAATTATAATATGGCAATAATAGCACAACTGTATTGATTGGTTTTAAATATTAAATCAGAGAGAGTGCATGAAATAGCTATCATACGGTAAGTATTTTTCAAAGAAACCGTTATTATAGATTATTTTTTATTATTATAATAATCACTGAATGAAAGCTGCAGTGTTAATAAAAATGGAAGGAATCAATTAGAGGAAAAAAACTCATCAGGACCACAGTTTTGGTTCCACGTAAGGTGATGTAATGCTTAAACACATTATAGGATACAATTCCTCAGGAGTTTAAGGTAACAATAGCTGTCTACACTTGTTTGTCTATAATTATCAGACCATGACTTGTTTTTGACTAGTGGCTTTCAATTTCTCCTATCTATTATCTAATGATCCCTTGATTCTGAGCTTAAGTTAAATGTTATGAGGTGAGATATAAAACCCGGATACAATTGATCTATAGGGAGAATCAAAGGAATAAAGAAACTCAACAACAAGAAAATATGACTGAAGTAAATACAGTAATTTTTTATGAAGCTGAAATCATGCTTTACAGGAATTAATGGAAAAAATGAATACACATGTTTCAGAAGGTAGAGAAACTTGTCTGAAAGTTCAGATTTTTTTTAAGAAAGGCAATAAGGTGCCACTGTATGTCCATGAGCAAAGTTAATTACATTAATAGATCACTAGCAGGTAAGCAGAGAGAGTTAACTAACTGATCAACCTTCCTAATGACACTAATATGCAGACAAACCTATGCCAGGCCAGTTTCATAAGAATTATCTGCAGATCTTCAAATGGCAATAAATGCCTGCAGGATATTTAAGATTGAGCTATTCAGGGTGAGGAAGGGGGTAGTCATCAGACATTTTTATATGACTACAGATTACTGTGATATTTTATAAGGTTTAGAATCCACTGATCTGGTTCAATTTCTCCCTTTTCCTATGAGGAGAATGAAGCCAAAGAAGCGTTATGACCTGCTGGAATACTAGCTGCCTAAGTAACTCATGACTATCTCTTAGGCTTTTTCAGCTTCGTTATATAAGACAGGAGACCCAAAAGTTGTGTGCAGAATGGATCGGAGAGTTAAGTCCTGGAGAGAGGGAGACCACTTAAAAACAACAACAGCAACAACCACACAAATGTGATAGTTACCTATGAAATATTGCATTAAAGTAGTCAGTACCTCGACCAGAGAAAGGGGTAAAAATGGAATCACTTTAAACAAACCAAGGATATAATTCACAATAAGAGATGGCAAAGAGGTTAACAATTCAGAGGCTCTCAGGTCTGATTCTGGGAGGAATGTTTATGATCCGGGCAATTAACTTGGAATCAAGAGAAAGATTTCAGAGTGCATTTTGCAACTTCCAGGCTTGTCTCACACAAATAACTTCCTCTACCTTTCTTTACCCTTCCTTTGATTAACAGAAGCTGAAAGAAAGGAACTAACTTCTTTCTGGGTCGAAGACATCTGGAAAACATAGGATCTCCTTCAGTGTCTTTAGCACCAGATCCTGTGATTCAAACTACACACAACCAATAAGAAAAAGAATTCAACATGCGTGCTACCGGTTCACCTCCTTTCTTGTGTTTATTACACATCAATAAATCAAGTGTTTACTGAGATCCTACTCTCAAGTTCCTAGTCAGAAAAGGAATCACCTGCCGTAGGTAACAGCCTGTGTTCTTTCCTACAGCATTGAAAAGAGCCTCAGACTAAAAAATGAAAGGAAATTGTGTATTTCTTTATTGTAAAGGGCAGAAACGTGCAATTACAGATTGTGAAACTGCTGCTTAGAATTCCAGGCTCATTGTAAGGAAGTGCCTTGTCGTCAGCAAGTTGGCATCCAAGTACTGGAACTTAGTTTCTTCCTGTGGGAGGAAAAAAAAAAAAAGAAAAAGACAAAACATTGTCCTGTGGGTTGACACCTCAGCCTGTTTCTTTTCCTTGTTTCCTGTGGCCCCTCTACTTCTTCTATCCATCTGTCTCTTCTCTTCCTGATCTCTCAGTTTTTCTTTCTCTGATCACAAAGAACCACAATGACTGAAGGAGTTTAATCTCACAAGTCTTCTTTCATTTCCTCATAAGAATTAACCAAATAGTTCATATTTCCTGCTTAAACTGTCTTACTGTATCATCACGATGTTTTCCCCTCTCTATCTCCCTTTTATTGGAGATAGTGCTGCAAGAACCCTGCGGTCTAATCCCTGGCATGCTTTCCTTTTACTACCTAAGATGGCCATAACATTTCATTTTTACTGAGGGTGAAATTTCACCTTTGCTTTTTAATATCCCCTGAATGAAAGCTGATTGTAGAAGGAGTCTCAGGCTGTAGTAGAATTAATGTGTGATTATACAAAAGAAATATGCACAGAAGAACAGTAAGTAAAAGGAGAAAGAAAAAGCCATGATGGCTGAGTAGAAACAGCTCCAGTCTGCAGCTCCCACAGAGAAAAACACACAGGGCGAGTGATGTTTGCATTTCAAACTGAGGGACCCAAATCCTATCACTGGGACTATCTAGGCAGTTGGTGCAACACACAGAAAGCAAGGAAAAGCAGGGTGGGACGGCAGTTCACCCAGGAGCTACACCGGACAAAGGGACCTCCTTCCCTCAGGCAAGGGAGGCAGTGAGGGACTGTGCTACCCACCCGGGGTACTATTTTTTCCAGGATTTTTGCAGTCCAGGGCTCAGGAGATCCCCTCGTGAGCATATACCATCAGGGCCTTGGGTCTCAAGCACAAAACTGGGCAGACCCACGGCTGCTTTTCTGGTCGGAGGCTGTTTGGGCAGGCACTGAGCTGCAGGAGTTTTTACATAGTCCAGCAGCTCTCGGAACTCTAGTGAGGCAGGAGTCCATCCACTCCCATGGAAAGGGGGCTGAAGCCAGCCAGGGAGCAAAATGGCCTTGTTCAGTAGGTCCACTCTAACAGAAGCCTGCAAGCTTAGATCCACTGGATTAGTACCCCCCACAGGCCAGCATAGCAGCCTGGTGTAGGCCTAAGATGACCGACTTCCCCAGGGGAGGGGCGACTGCCATTACTGCAGCTCTAGTCAGCGGTTTTCCCCTACGAGTGCTAGGGAGGCTGGGCAGATTGGACTGGGCAGCAGTCTTCACAGTGCATCACAGCCGCTGGAACAGATCATGGCCAGAGTGCTCCTTTAGGTGGGACTGGGATCCATCCCTCCCCACTGGGCAAGTCATCCTTGCAGGAATTCCACCAACACCAGCCAGGAGTTTACAGACAGAGCTCTCATTTCCCTAGGACAGAGCACCTGTGGGGAGGGGCGGCTGTGGTCTCAGGTTCAACCAACTTAATCTTTCCTACGTGCTGGATCTGAAGAGTCCCAGCAATCCAGACAAGGGGGCTTCCCCAGCACAGTGAACCAGCTCTGCTAACGGATAGCCAGACTACTT
The DNA here is from genome assembly GCF_000001405.40 of Homo sapiens. Classification (NCBI taxonomy): domain Eukaryota; kingdom Metazoa; phylum Chordata; class Mammalia; order Primates; family Hominidae; genus Homo; species Homo sapiens. The sequence continues at coordinate 105,112,131 of NC_000011.10, forward strand.
CCTTAAGTGGGTTCTTGATCCCTTTCCTGCTGACTGGGTGAGACCTTTCAACAGGGGTCACCAGACACCTCATGCAGGAGAGTTCCGACTGGCATCAGGTCAGTGCTCCTCTGGGATGAAGCTTCCAGAGGAAGGAGCAGGCAGCAACCTTTGCTATTCTACAGCCTCCTTTGATGATACCCAGGTGAACAGTGTCTAGAGTGGACCTTGGGCAAACTGCAGCAGATCTGCAGAAGAGGGGACTGATTGTTAGAAGAAAAACAAAAAACAGAAAGCAATAATAACAACAGCATTAACAAAAAAGACCCTACAAAAATCCCATCCAAAGGTCAACAGCTTCAGGATTAAAGGTAGATAAATCCGCAAAGATGATGAAAAACCAATGCAAGACCGCTGAAAATTCCAAAAGCTGGAATGCCTTTTCTCCTTAAATGATTTCAACACTTCTCCAGCAAGGGCACACAACAGGGCTGAAGCTGAGATGGATGAACTGACAAAAGTAGGTATCAGAAACTGAGTAATGACAAACTTTGCTGAGCTAAAGGATTATGTTCTAACCCAATGCAAATAAGCTGAGAACCATGATAAAAGATTACAGGAACTGTTAATTAGAATAACCAGTTTAGAGAGGAATACAAATGATCTGATGGAGCTGAGAAACACAGCATGAGAGCTTCATGATGCAAACACAAGTATTAATAGGCGAATCTATCAGGCAGAAGGAAGAATATCAGAGCTTGAACACTATCTTGCTGAAATAAGGCAGGCAGACAAGATTAGAGAAAAAAAATAAAAGGCAATGAACAATATTCCAGAACTATTAGACTATGTAAAAAGACCAAACCTACGACTGATTGAAGTACCTGAAAGAGATGGGGAGAGTGGAACCAAGTTGACAAACATACTTCAGGATGTCATCCAGGAGAACATCCACAACCTAGCAAGACAGACCAACATTCAAATTCAGGAAATTCAGACAACCCCAGTAAGATACTCCACAAGAAGATCAATCCCAAGACAGATAATCAGCAGATTCTCCAAGGTTGAAATGAAGGAAAAAATGTTAAGGGCAGCCAGAGAGAGAGGCCAGGTCACCTACAAAGGGAAGCCCATCAGAATAGCAGCGGACTTCTCAGCAGAAACCCTACAAGCCAGAAAATTCTGGGGACCAATAGTCAACATTCATAAAGAAAATAATTTCCAACCCAGAATTTCATATCTGGCCAAATTAAGCTTCATAAGTGAAGGAGAAATAAAATTCTTTTCAGACAAGCAAATGCTGAAGGATTTTGTCACCAGCAGGCTTACCTTGCAAGAGGTCCTGAAGGAAGCACTAGGAATGGAAAGGAAAATCTGTTAGCAGCCACTACAAAAACATACTAAAATACACAGGCAAATGACACTATGAAGCAACTGCATTAACAAGTCTGTGAAATTAACCAGCCAACATCATGATGACAGGATCAAATTCACACATACCAATATTAACCTTAAAAGTAAATGGGCTAAATGCCCCAATTAAAAGACACAGAATGGCAAGTTGGATAAAAAGACAGGACCCGTCAGTATGCTGCATTCAACACTGTTGGTGGAAATGTAAATTTGTTCAACCATTGTGAAAGAGTGTGTGGTGATTCATCAAAGATTTAGAACCAGAAATACCATTTGACACAGAAATACCATTACTGGGTATATACACAGAGGAGTATAAATCATTCTATTATAAAGATACATTACATGCATGCATATGTTCATTGCAGCACTATTCACAATAGCAAAGACATGAAATCAACCCAAATGTCCATCAGTGATAGGCTGGATAGAGAAAATGTTCTACATATACACCATGGAATACTATGCAGCTATAAAAATTGATGAGATCATGTCCTTTGCAGGGACAAGGATGAAGCTAGAAGCCATTATCCTCAGCAGACTAATGCAAGAACAGAAAACCAAACACTGCATGTTCTCACTTATAAGTGGGAGCTGAACAATGAGAACACATGGACACAGGGAAGGGAACAACACACACTGGGGCCAGAGAAGAGGATGGGGAATGGAGGAGGGCATTAGAGAAAAGAGCTAATGAATGCTTGACCTAATAAAGAGGTGATGGGTTGATCTGTACAGGAAACCACCATGGCACATATTTACCTATGTAACAAACCTGCACATCCTGCACATGTATTCCAGAACTTAAAAAAAATAATAAAATAAAATGGCATTATGATGTTCGACATTGAAGGATTTCAAGAAATCAGAAATTCACCTTCACTTTTAATGAGTTTAGGATTAGAAAAAGGCTCATGACTGCAACTGAATTTGTAGTTCTTCCAGTTCTTCAAAATCTTCACATCACTGAGTGACTGATTTAACCCCAAACTATTTTCCCCTGCACAATGCAGGTGTATAATTTTGCATTCAATGCACTGTAGTGTTTCTTCAGAGTGTCATGCTCTATCTGCTATTGCTTTTATGTTTGTTGAGTGTTATACATTCTTAAATAGACTGTGAAATCTTAGGGATCTAGGGTTGAATCCAAATTTACTTTGTATTTCTCAAAACTCTTAGCAAATGTTAGATATGTGCAGTTTCTCTTCATGAATTTGTCAATAGTAAACTCTGGGATTTGGAAAAATGTCCCTTTTCACATCATGCTTTCACTATGATAACTGTCTTTCTTCTCCCCACCTCTCCTGCTGTATTCTAAATTCTTCAAAGTTACATACTTTCTATAATTTATATCTGTATTCCTAAAGCAGAAAGCCTTGAAAATGGTTTTCTGAAGGAAAAAATGGTGCTACTAGCCAGTTCATGTCTTATGAATCAAGTTTAAAGACTCTAAATCCATTACCTGCTCAAAATTTCATCTTCTGTTTTTTTCTAGTGTGGTTAAAAAAATAGGACATTCTTTCATTTTTATATCAGGCTTAATGGAATGCTTATGGAACTGTGTGTTTTTAAACAGACATGACTCAAAAATAGGTGCATAAAGAGAGAATTCTTGGCTTCCTGTGGGAAAAAACAAATAAAGCAAACATTTAAAAAACTTCCACCAAAAGATATGCAAGTTATAGTGTCATACCACCAATGGGACTATACACATTCTGAAGAGGAAATAGCCCATGCTGTGTCTAAGTATTCCCCTACTGAAATGAGAGAGAAACACCTATAAGTGAGCATTTGTGATCTTATTACCACCTCAGAAATCAACATCAACTGACCCTCAAAAGGAGTGGTTTAAGCAAAGAACTTTTAGAGAAGAGCAATGTACTCTGCACTGACCAGAAGGAAGGTGTTTTTTCAGAATTCCCTGTTTTTTATACTATGGGTAGAGTATCTCTTTTCCAAAATGCTGGGGACACAAAATGTTTTGGATTTCGTACTTTTCTGAATTTTGGAATATCTACGTTATAATTACTAGTTGAGCATTCCTAATCCCATAACCTAAAATCTGAAATACTTCAATAAGCATTTCCTTTGAATATCATGTCAACATCCAAAAAGGTTTCGGTTTTGTTCAACAAAATACTAGCAAACTGAATACAGCAGCACATCAAAAAGTTAATTCACCATAATCCAGTGCACTTCATTCCCATAATGCAAGATTGATTCAACATACACAAGTCAATAAATGTGATTCACCAAATAAGCAGGATTTAAAATAAAAAAGCAGACACAGAAAAGCTGTTGATAAAACCCAACATCCCTTTATGATAAAAAACCCTCAACAAATTAGGCAACAAAGGAAACAGACCCCAAAATAATAAGAGTCATCTATGACAAATTCATAGCCAAACATCTAAAAGTATTCCCTTTGAAAACCAGCACAAGACAAGGATTCTCTCTCTCAACACAACTGTTCCACATAATCCTGGAAGTCCTAGCCAGAGTGATCAGACAGCAGAAGGAAATACAGGTTATCCAAATCGGAAAAGAAGAAGTCAAACTGTCCTCCAATGTACAAAATTCAATAACACTTCTGTACACCACAAACGTTGAAGCTGTGAGCCAAATCAAGAACTCATCTCAACTGCAATAACCAAAAAATAAAAATAAAATACCTAGGAAAACATCTAAAAGAGCTCTACAAGGAGAGCCACAAAACACTAAAATCAGATATGACACAAACAAATGGGAAAATATTCCATGCTCACAGAGTAAAAGAATCAATACCATTAAAATGGCCATACTGCCTAAGGCAATCCACACATTCAATGTTATTCCTATCAAATGATCAATACCATTTTTCACAGAGTGAAAAATAAAACCAATTCTAAAATTCATATGGAACAAGCGAAGAGCCTGAATAGTTAAAGCCACCCTAAGCAACAAAAACAAAGCTGGAAGCGTCCCCTTTCCTGACTTCAAACTGTACTATCAGGCTACAGTAACAAAAACAGTGTGGTCCTGGTACAAAAACAGACACATAGACCAATAGACAAAATGAAAAACTTAGAAATAAAGCTGTATGCCATCTGTTCTTTGACAAAGTGGGCAAAAATAAGCACTGAGGAATGGACTCTCTATTCAATAAATGGTGCTGAGACAGAATGAGAGAAAACATTTACAAACGATGTATCCAACAAAAGTCCAATATCCAGAACCTGTAAGTAACTAAAACAACTCAGCAGAAAAAAATAAATAACACCATTAAAAAGTAGGCGAAAGACATAAACAGACACTTCTCAAAGGAAGACATACAAGTAGCAAAAAATATATGGAAGTGTTCAGCATCACTAATCATCAGAGAAAAATGAACCGAAAGCACAGTAAGATACCATCTCACACCAATCAGAATGGCTATTGACAAAATGTCAAAAGTATATCATTTGGTCATCATGTATAATAATTTTTATATGTTGCTGTATTCAGTTTTTTAGAATTTTTGATAATTTTAATGTGTGAATTTATTAGATGTAATTTTTTAATTTCTGAGATTAATGTGCAGCATGTGCAGGTTTGTGACTTAGGTAAACCTGTGCCATGGTGGTTTGCTGCACAGATCAACCTATCACCTAGCTATTAAGCCAAGCATGCATTAGATATTTTTCCTAATGCCCTCTCTCCCTTCAAATCCCCCTGTCAGGCCCCAATGTGTATTGTTCTCCTCCATGTGTTCATGTGTTCTCATTGTTCAGCTCCCACTTATAAGTGAGGACATGCAGTGTTTGGTTTTCTGTTTCTGTGCCAGTTTTCTGAGGATAATTGCTACCAGGTAATTCATGTCTCTGCAAAGGATATGATCTCATCCTTCTTTATGGTTGCATAGTATTAGATGGTGTATATGTACCACATTTTCTTTATCCAGTCTATTGCTGATGGGCATTTGGGTTGATTCCAGGTCTTTGCTATTGTGAAGTTCTGATATCAAGTTAATATTGGTCTCACAGAATAAATTGAGAAGTGTTTTCTCCTTTTATTTTTTGTGTGAAAATAAAAGTCAAAAAATAACTGATGCTGACAACACTGTGAAGAAAAAGCAATGCCTATACAATATTGGTGGAAACCTGAATTAGTTCAGCACTGTGGGAAGTAGGTTGGAGATTTTCATACCCAAAGGAATATACATCATTCTATTACAAAGATACATGGAAGCGTATCTTCATTGCAGCACTATTCACAATAGCAAAGACGTATAATCAACCTAAATACCCATCAGTGATAGATAGGATAAAGAAATGGTTTTACATACACAGCATGGAATACTGTGCAGCTATATCATGGAATAACATGCTGGAATACTATGCAGCCATAAAAAGAAATGAGATCTTGTCCTTCACAGGAACATGGATGGAGGTGGAAGCCATTATACTCAGCAAACTAATTCAGGAACAAAAAAACGAACACCTCATGTTCTCACTTAAAGTGGGAGCTGAGCAATGAGAACACATTTACACAGTGAGGAGAACAACACACGCTTGGGCCTGTGAGGGTGTCAGGGGAAGGAAGGGCATCAGGAGGAATAGCTAATGGATTCTGGGTTAATACCTAGATGATTGGTTAATCTGTGCAGCAAACCACGATGGCAAACATTTACCTATGTAACAAACCTGCACATCCTACACAAGTACACCAGAACTAAAAATAATTTGAAGGAAAAAAAAAAACCTTAGATTAACAGAGGAAGAAATACTTCCAAACTTATTCTACAAGGACAGCATTACTCTGATACCAAAACCAGACAAAGGCACATTAAAAAAAAAAAGAAAAATAAAATATCAGCCAATATGATTGATGAATATTGATGCAAATATCCATAACAAAACACTAGCAAGCCAAATTCAACAACACATTAAAAAGATCATTCATCATGACCAAGTAGGATTTATCCAAGAGATGTAAGAATTGTTCAACATATGTAAATCAACCAATGTAATACATTGTATCAACAGAAGAAAGGACACAAAACATAAAATCATTTCAATTGATGCTGAAAAAGCATTTAATACAATTCAAGATACCTTGCTCATGAAAATTCTAAAAAAAAAAGAACAGGTACTGAAAGAACATACTTCAACATAATAAAAGACATATACTAGAAACCCACAGTTAGTTATACTGAGTGGAGAAAAACTGAAAGCCTCTCATCTAAGATCAGGATGTCCGCTTTCAACACTGTTATCCAACATAGTGTTGCAAGTCCTAGGCAGAGCAATTAGACAAGATAAAGAAATAAAGGGCATCCAGATTGGAAAGGAAGAAGTCAAATTATCCTTGTTTGCAGATTATGTGAACTTATATCTGAAAAATCCTAAAGACTCCACCAAAAAACTCTTAGACCTGATAAACTAATTCAGAAACATTGCAAGATACAGAAATTAATGTACAAAATTTAGTAGCATTTCTATATGCCAATGATAAGCAATCTGAAAAAGAAATCAAGAAAATAATTCCATATACAATAGCTAGAATTAAAATTAAATATCTAGGAATTACATTAACCAAAGAAGTAGAAGACCCTTGCAATGAAAACTATAAAACATTAATGTAAGATATTAAAGAGGATGCAAAAAAATAAAAAGAATTGTTTATGGATTAAAAGAATCAATATTGTTAACACATCTCTACTACCTAAAGCAATCTATAGACTCAATGCAGTCCTTATAAAGATACCACTGACATTCTTCACAGAAATAATAAAATAAGAAGAAATCCTAAAATGTATATAGAACCACAAAAGATCTAAAATAGCCAAAGGTACCCTGAGGAAAAAGAACAAAACTGTAAGAATCCCATTACCTGACTTTTAATTACACTGCAGAGCTGTAGTTATTAAAATGGCATAGTACTGGTATAAAAACAGACACATAAATCAATGGAACAGATTACAAAATCCAGAGATAAATCCATACATCTATAGTGAACTCATTTTTGACAATGGTGCTAAGAATATAAATACATTGGTGAGAGGACAGTCTCTTTAATAAACGGTACTGAAAATAAACTGTATATCCATATACAAAAGAATGAACCTAGACCCCTACCTCCTGCCTTATACAAAAATCATATCAAAATGAATCAAAGACTTAAATCAAAGACCTCAAACTATGGAACTCTTATAAAAAATGGAGAAATTCTCCAGTCCTTTGAACTGGGCTTAACACTCCATGAGCATGAGCAACCAAAGCAAAAATGGACAAATGGGATTACATAAAGTTAAAAACCTTTTGCACAGCAAAGGAAACCATCAACAATGTAAAGACAAAACCCACAGAATGGGCAAAAAATTGCAAACTATCCATTTGAAAAGGGATTAAAAACCAGCATATATAAGGAGCTCAAACAACTCTATAGGAGAAAATTTTAATAATCTGATTGAAAAAATGGGCAAAAGATCTAAATAGACATTTCTCAAAAGAGTACATACAAATGCCAAACAGGTATATGAAAAGGTGCACAACATTATTATTAGAGAAATGCAAATAAAAACTTATCTGTGGGAGCTAAATTTTCAAATATTTGAACTCAATGAAGCAGAGATTGAAGAATTATTACCAGAGGATGGGAAGAATAGTGTGGTGTGGGGGAATTTGGGGAATGTTAATGGGTACTGTTTCTGTACCCATTTAATCACATTGGGTACACATAGACATACAAGTGGGCACAATGGACACTGGAGTCAATAAGAGGGAGGACAGAGGTAGAGGGTCAAGGGTTGAAAAACTATTATGTACTATGCTCACAACTTGGATGCGAGGAACGATTGTCACCAAAACCACAGCACCATGCAGTATACCCAGATCATGAACCTGCACATGTACCCCTTGATGGAAAATAAAGTTGGAATTATATTTAAAAAAACACTCAATATCAATATGAGATACTCTTACGGTTTTTATGGAATGAAGGCATTTATACTAGCAATTTTTGAGGACTTTTCAATGTCACTTTTTGATAAAAAATTGTGGGAGGTAATAGGAAAGAATGTAGATATTGGAGGATTTCAGATTTTGAAATTCTGGATGAGGAATAATACATTTAGAACTGGAAATCTTGACCAGAACAGAACTTCGTTACTATTCTCCAACGTCTGCAAACCCCCAACACACACATACACACACTTGCTCACAGACATTCATACAACCTACTTTTTTTAATGTCCTAGGAAGAGAAAGAAACATCTTGTCAATGTCACTCAGTGTTGAGCATCTGTGCCCTACCATCTGGAAGCTCAAATGAAAATCAGACCTAAAAAGAGAAAGTCTGTGGACCTTTTGTGATGTAGAATCTTACACCAGAAAAACTGCAACAAATACAGCAACATAAATGACAAAAACAAGAAGTATTGGCACCTGCGACAGTTTAAACTGTGCTGAGGAATCATGATGCTGCCACCCCTGCACATCTCCCTGTCATCTTATCCTTTGACTGGAGAGTGTTCTGAAGGAATCCCTTTACTCCCTGGAATGCGTTCCTTCAACTTCTTAAGATTGCCTTAACAGTTAATTTTTACTGAGGGTAACAATTTACTTCTGCTTTTTGATATTCTCTGCGCAAAGACTGATCACAGATGGAGTCTCAGGTTGTAGTAGAATATGCACGTTAGTACAGAAAATGTATGCTCAAACAGTTAATAAAGTCCAAAGAAAAAGGGATCGTAAAGTGTTCAACTATGAAGGTTTTTAAAAGGTCAGACATTCACTTTGATTTAATAGGATAAAGATTAGAAAAGGCTCATATTTGCAGGTGAAAGGGTAGTTCTTCCAATCCTCCCTAAATCTTAACATCCCTGAGTGAGCGATTTCACCCCAAACTCATTTTCTTTGCACCATGCAGGGACTTCACTGTGCACACCATGCACCCTAGAGTTTCTTTAGGGTGTCATGCACCATCTGCCAAGCGCTTCATTTTTGATGGCTGTCTTACCTTTTCAAGAAGTCTGTAAACTACTGAAGTTAATTCAAAATTTACTTTCTCTCTCTTAAATACCTTAACAAAGGGTAGAAATATGGAGGTTCTGTTCATGGATTTGTCGGTAGTAAACTGTGGGATTTGGGAAAAGTCCCTTATCACACTGCACTGTCACTGTCATAACTATCTGTCTTCTCCCCATCTCTCCTGCTGAGCTCTAAATTTTTTGAAGTCAGGTACCTGTGGTAACTTGTATCTGCATCCCTAAAGCGGAAAGCGTAGCAAATGGTTTTTCAAATGAAAAAATGGTGCCAATAGCCAGTTCAGATCTTACTAATTAAGTCTAACATTCTAAATTCATCACTCCCTCTGATTTCCCACCCCTGTTTCTCCAGTGTGGAAGAAAATTGAGGACATGTTTTTACTTTTATATTAGATTTATTAAAATGTTCAAAAAAGTCTATTATTAAAAAGACATAATTCCAAAAACCATTACAGAATGAAGAAACTCTTGGTTTCCTATGGGGAAAAAAATAAAAAACAAACATAAAAGAGAATTTTGCTAAAAGAAATGTAAGTTATAAAGTTATACCACCAATGGGAACATATGCAATCTTAAAAGGAAAGGCCACATGCTATTTAAAAATGTTACCCTGCTGAGGTTAAGGGGAGAAACATCTAAAAGTCAGCCTTTATAGACTTATGGCCACTTCTAGGTCCATATCAGCTGACCCTCAGAAAGGGTCTAAAAGAAAAACTTCGGGAGAAGAGCAATGTGCTCTACACTGACAAGAAGAAAGGCATTACTTCAGTATTTTCTGTATATTGTACTATGGCTTGATTATCCGTTATCCAAGTTGCATGCTACCAGAAGTATTTTGAATTACAGATATTTTTGTATATTGGAATATCTGCATTATACTTACTGGTTTATTATCCTTAATCCAAAAACCTAAAATTTGAAATGCTTTAATAAGGATTTCCTTTGAATATCATGTGGGCACTCACACAGTTTTGGATTTTAGAGCATTTCAAAATTTAAATTTTTGGATTATAAAATTCTAGGCCTGTAGACCTAGAGTCCTTTACTAAAATGGACTTTCAGTACACTTTCCTCAAACTTCCCACACACCTGACATACCTGCCCACAGACATTCATACAGCTTCCTTATTTTAATGTTCTGGGAAGAGGTAGAAGCGTATTGTCAAAGTCATCCTTTCAGTGCTGGGCATCTGTGCTTTATCATCTGGCTGCTCAAATGAAAGTCGAACCCGAAAGAAAGGAAAGTCTGGAGAACGGTTTTTCTGAAAAGTTTGTTGACTCATGCCAAAAAGACTACAACAAATATAGCAAAATAAGTGACAAAAACAAAAAGTACTTGTGTCTGCAACAAGTATAGCCATGTGCTTATCTAAGCATTGAATGACCTCCTAGGGGCTTTTTAAATCTGTGGTTGGATCTAATAGCCATGAGGGACACAGGCAAATTAGAGTCCACTCATTTGTCTCTGCAGGTCAAGGGGAGGGTGAAAATAAATGATTGTTTTATTGAGGCTGTGGGTCTTAATAGATTTGATTTGGCCCCCAGGCTTGTTCACTCTCCAAAGAACTTCAAAACTCTTTTGGAAAGAAGGGCTTTATGGGAAGATAAACATGTCTGGATCTGCTTCCTATGCTTCCAATTGCAATAGCCAAGCATTCAGGGAAGTAGAGTGAAATAGCATCCACTAGAGCCCTACCTTGCAGAAAATTTCCTCCACATCACAGGAACAGGCATATTCTTGCAGATGTTCAATGAGTCTCATAATAAAAAGAGAGCCCTTTGTGGGGTGTCTCCAAGAAACATTATCAGTTGATAAAGCACATTTCACATCTCAAGACTGGCTCTTGCCTGAAGAAAGAGAAGAAACTCTAGTATTTCTGCTCCAGCTGAGGCATGTTTTGGAATTCATCTATTTTCCATACACTTCATTGTAATTTTAGTGAATACATTCGAAGTTCAGCGAGTATATTTTTACTGATACTCTAAAGGGTGCTGTATATGGTGCAGGTATTAACGTGGCCTAATCCCTGAGTTCAAAAAGTCGTAAATGTAGTAGAGCGTTAGGAAAAGGCAGAATGTGGTAAAGGGAAGGGATTGCGGTTTGGAAAAGAAATATCTAAATGTGCATCCCCAAAGTGGCGTTACTGACTGTGATTTAAGTTAATTGTCCATTCCGATATGTAATAGACTCAGCTATACAGGGAACGGTAATAATTTCATGCACAAGAGATATCTGAGGCTACAAAAGTGTCTGAGCTAAGAGAGAATATGTAATATTCAGTCTACACAGGGAAATTATGTTAATAAATTATCAATTTATGTTCTTCACATTAAATTTTAATTAAAATATAATACATTGACTGTAAGATATTTACACAAAAGAGTTAACTATAAAAATGATAAAACAGAACAAAACTAGAAATCTAAGAAGAATCAATAAGAAGATGATCACATCATAATGGAGAATAAGAAGTTGTTATGAAGAAGAGAAATATTAAAGAGAAACAATATTAATTTATTACATGGTAGACACAGAAGTAATGAATATGTGAAAATTATACAAAGGAAGGCATAAGAGAAAAGCAGTAGCAATAGCTCTGTGTATAATCACAGACACATTCTTTAATGACACATTTCAGCCAATTATAATGGTCATTAAATGTATATTAATAATAAAATTCTATTTAGAACGACAGCTATCTTAGTTGAAGGAAGTAGATAAGAGATAGGGTGGAAACAGGTGTCTCTGCAAATGTTTTGTGAAATTAAGGGAGTAGGTAGTTATTTTTCCTCAGGAGAGCACTATGATATAGTTGGGATTTGCATGGCAGAATGTGGAGCTTGGCTTAATATGGGAGTTATAAATGACTAAACTGGAGTTTTTGACAGTCATGTGGAAAGGAGGAGTAAGGAAAATGAAAGAAAAGAAAAACACAGAAATCAGCAAAATTGATGATGAGAAGCCAGGGGCCTACAAAGAGCTACATAGAGAGCAGTGAATGTCATGTGGAAGGCTGGGATCAAAGGATATTAAAGAACAGTTCTGTCTAATGTAACAGAAATCCAGGTTAGTGCAGAAACTTGGATAGCCACATAAAGAATGGAAGACAGTGTTAGGCATCTACCACCCCATTCCCAAACCAAGATCTTCTGGGAACCAAGAAACACTTTTTCTTTCAGTGAAGAGGTAAGCAAAAGGATCCCAGCAACCCTTATCTACATATTATATCTTCAGACTTCACTATTATAATCTCCTACTGCCTGGATTCTACATAGCTGTGTTGCCTCAGAGAAGGAGCTGACAATCTGTCTCATGCCCTGTGGCCACATAGCTACTGTGCTATGCCATCTTGGTATTGGAATTACAACTGTAGTCTGTCTTGTTCTTGGGGCAAGTAGCCATGACATCCCTTCAACTTAGAGGTTAAGGCACGGCTGAATCACTCCAGCCTGGTGGCCCAAAATTCTTAAGCCATGCTGGAAGCAGCTGTTACATCTTACCGTGTGAGGCCAAACAGAGGTGGAGCTTCTATACCTATCCTTCCCTCTAGCACCTTGGGCCAGAACTGAAGCAATCTCCTGGGAAAACAGTACCTTAACCACTCAGAGCTGTCACACCTCCCAAATACCTATGCCAAAGTGAAAACCTGCATCTCAGGGAAAGAATGTATGGGCTTCTTAGAATAATCACATCCCCCAAGTCTGAACTCTAGCAGCATATTACCCACTTGGGGAATCAATGTCCTGGCTAAACTTGCCAACTGTGCACCGCAAGGCTGAGACGATGCAGTAGCCCACATCCCAAGGACGCAGACCAGTGGTCAAGCTGAGACACTCTGCCCTACAGGCAAAACAACTCTAGTACCCTGCTTCTCTGCATCTGGACTAGTGTCCTACAGTATGAGCTGCTGAGATACCCCACTTGCTGGAAAGTAAAATAATCACTGTGCTGCTTCCTGCCTCTTCTCACAGCCCAAGTGGCAGCTGCGCTCTGCCATTCTGGGCTACTTCCTTCCACTGTACCTGGCCTCACCAAATCTGGGATACTACTGAACCCCAACATCTCAAGGTTTATAGTCACAACTACAAAGTATCTCATCTCCTGGGACCTGAATTGCCAGAAAGGCTTACTAGTTCAAATTTCAAAATCGTAGATATACCCTGTTTCCTGGACCCAAACCTCCAAAATATCTCCTTTTACACAGAGTCAGGGAAGGGCTGTACTCTGTCCATGAGGGGTAAAATTACAGCTAAAAACTAGTCCCCTGGGTCCAAGCTGCTGGTGAGCCTAGTGGGTGCCTCAGAGTCACATGTCCAGTCTCTGTGGGCAACCTATATGCAGCCCAGCCACAGAGAATGAACAAGGACCTCAAGACCCAGATGCCACAATATGTTTGTAGGACCCTAAACTAGGACTCTAGCCACACTTTTGCTCCAACCAAGAACCTGAATTTGGAACTCAACTATTTGTAAGCCACGTCAGCTCTAACAACAAAAGGAGTCCCCTTGATTAAGTATCCCCATTGTGGAGAAAATGATAATAAGAGAGATCCAAAACCTCTTGACACTGAGGGCATTAACAACATATGCCACTGACACTGCTCCTATAAGCTGCTATAGCTGCTATAGCCTACTGAAGTGTCCATAGTCATTGCCAAAATTGAATGCACCTAAAGAAGTGGCATGGAATCTATACAACTATACCTACCCCAAAATAGAGCCACCATACTCTTTCCTAATGGCACACTAAAACCCAACTTCAGGTGAAAGTGGAAGAGGCAGTTGTTTCATCATATTCACAGATGTCAACACAGGGAAACAAAGAAACATGAAAAACAAGAAAATATGACACCACCAAAAGAACTTTATGACTTTCTTGTATCAAATTCCAGTGAAAAGAAAATCAATGAAGTGCCAGAAAAAAATTCAAAATAATAATCATAAGGAAACTAAGATAAAAGAAAATATAGATAAGGAATTTAATGAAATCAAGAAATCAATTCACAATCTGAATAAAAAATTTAACAAAAAATAGAAATTAAAAATAAAAGCAATTCCTGCAGCTGAAGAATCTCATAAATAAAATGAATAGTCAATATAAAGCTGCAAGCAGAACGTACAATCTCTGAAGTTAAAGGTTATTTCAAATCACCTTCTCATAAAAATTAAAGAAATAAGAATAAAAATGAAAAAAAGCCTAAGATATATAGGACACCATTAAGTAAACAAATGTTGATATTATGGGAGTTTCAAAAAGAGAAGAAAAAAGGCAGAGGATAAGTTTATGAAATGCTGGCTGAAAATTTCCCAAGTCTGTAGAGAGACATGAACATATAGATCCAGGAAGCTCAATGGTTCTCCAAAAGGTTCAACCCTAATAGGTCATTTATGAGGCATATCATAGTCAAAGTGTTAAGTCAGAGACTAGGAGAGAATTATACAAACACACAGACTAGTATTAAGTCACATAGAAGATAATCCCTATTAGACTAACAGTACATTTCTTCAAAGAAATCTTCCAGGAGAGGAGAGAATAGGATAATATATTCAAAGTGTTGTAAAAAATAGCAACCAATAATATTACATCCAGTAAAATTATCTGTCAGAAATGAGGACGAAGTAAAATAAAAAAGTCTTTCCCAGAGAAGCAAAAACCTAAAGAAATTCACCACCACTAGACCAAACCTACAAGAAATGCTCAAGGGAGTCCTACACCTAGAAGCAAATAGATAATAATAATTATCATCAAAAAACCTCAAAAGTATAAAACTCACTGGGAGTGCAGATATACAATAAAGAAAGAGAAAGGGGTCAAACCTTATCACTACAGAAAACCACTCAAACACAATACAAGAGGAATACAATACATAAAACAATACAGAAGGAAGGAAACAACAAAGGATACACAAAACAACCAGAAAAAAATAACAAAATAACAGGAATAAGTCTTCACTTATCAACAATACCCTTTAATGTAAACCAATTATATTCTTCTCTTAAAAGATATAGACTTGCTAAATAAGTAAATACATGACCCAACTTTATGCTGCCTACAAGACACTCACTTCACTTGTAAAGACACATATAGGCTAAAAGTGAAGAATTCAAAAAAGATATTCCACAGAAACAGAAACCAAAGCAAACAGGAGCAACTATATTCATATCTAAAAACAGATTTTAAATGAAAAACTATAAAGAGACAAAGAAGGTCATTACATTGTATGGGAATCAATTTAGACACAGGAAGATCAATTTCAAATACATACACACCTAACACTGGAGCACATAGATATACAAAGCAAATATTATCAGATCTGAAATGAGAGATAGACTCCTATCCCATAAGAATTGGACCTTCAACAACATACTCTCAATATTTGACAGATCATTTAAACAGAAAATTAACAAAAATCATTTGATTTAGACTGCACTTCAGTAAAAATGGGCCTAACAGTTATTTACAGAGCATTTCATTGAAAAGATACAGAATGTGCATTCTTTCATTAACACACAGGACATTCTATAGGCCAGATCATGTGTTAGGACACAAAAAATCGTCTCAAGAAATTGAAAAGAATTGAAATCATATCAAACATATTTTCTAAACATAGTGGAATAAAACTAGAAATCAATAACCAGAGGAACTTTAAAACTTTTACAAATAAATGGAAATTAAACAGCATACTCCTGAATAACCAATGTGTCAATGAAGAAATTACAAGGAAAATTTTAAACATTCTTCAAACAAATAAAAAATAGAAACACAATATACCAAGACCCATGAAATTCACAAAGCACCTTAAAAAGAAAACATAGCAATAAGTATCTACATGATACATGTAGAAATAATTCGGTGTGATGGCACACACCTGTAATCATAGCCACTCAGGAGGCCGAGGTGGAAGGATCAGGCTGCAATGAGCTATGACCACACTACTAAACTCTAGCCTGGGTGACAAAGTGACATATTTTCTCAAAACAAAATGTAGAAATATTTCAAATAAACAACATAACGATATATCTAAAGGACAAACTAAAACCAAGATAAAGGACAAACTAAAACAAAGATTAGCTGAAGGAATAAAATAGTAAAGATCAGAGCCCATAGAAACAAAATTGGTACTAAAACAAATGCAAAAGATCAACAAAATGAAAAGCCAGTTTGTTAAAAAGCTAAGCAAAATTAACAAATTATTAAGTAAACAAAGAAAAAAGAGAGAACACCCAAATAAATAAAATCAGAAACAAAAAATGAGACATTACAACTGATATCACAGAAATAAAAGGTATCATTAACAACTGTTATTAATACAAACAACTTTACACTGACCAATTAGGAAACCTCATAAAAATAGATAGACTCCTGGACACATATAAGCTGCCAAGATTGAACCAAGAAGCAATGGAAAACCAGAACCAATTACAAGTAATGAGATTGAATCTGTGAGGAAAAGTCTCTCACCAAAGCAAAGGCCAAGAACCTAGGGCTTCACTGTGGAATTATACTGAACATCTAAAAAAGAACTAGTACAAATTTATCTCAAACTCCTCCATAAAATTGAGGGGGAGAAAATTCTTTCAAACTCATTCTAAAGACTCACATTAACTTGATACCAAAGTCAGGGAGAAACACACGGAAAAGAAAACTACAGGCCAATATCCCTTATGAATACAGATGCAAAAATCATCAATAAAAAACTAAATCCAGCAGCACATTAAAAAAATCATTCACCGTGATAAAGTAGGATTTATACAAAAGATGCAAGAATAGTTTAACATATGAACATCAATAAAATATCATACATCACATCCACAGAATAAAGGGCAAAAATCAGATGATTATATAAATGGATGTATGAAAAACATTTGATGAAATTCAACATCCCTTCATGATAAAAACTTTCAACAAGCTTTTTATACAAGGAATGTACCTCAATACAATGAATGTCACATGTGACAAATCCAAGCCAACATCATACTGCATAAGGAAAGCTATTGCTCTAAGATCTGGAATGTATTAGTCCGTTTTCATGCTGAACTGTCTGAGACTGAGGAATTTATAAAGGAAAAAGGCTTAATTGTCTCATGGTTTGGCATTGCTGGGGAGTCCTCAAGAAACTTGCAATCATGGAAGAAGGTAAAGGGGAAGCAAGGCATCTTCTTCACAAGGTGGGAGGAAGGAGAAGTTCAAGAACAGGGGGAATAGCTCATTATAAAATTATGAAATCTCATGAGAACTCATTATCACAAGAACAGCATGGAGGAAAATGCCCCCATGATTCAGTTATCTCCATCTGTCTCTCCCTTGACACATGGGGATTATGGGAATTACAATTCAAGATGAGATTTGGGTGGGAACACAAGGTCTAACCATATCATTCTGCCCCTGGTCCCTCCAAAATTTCATGTCCCTTTTACATTTCAAAACCAGTTATGACTTGACAACAGTACCACAGAGTCTTAATTTATTCCAGTCTCATCTGAGAATTTGGACTTTGATGTCTGGATTAATTCTGAATCAATTAAGACTCTGGAAGACTGTTGAGATGTCCCCCAAAAGGTACAGGTCCCTTCTGCCTGTAAACCTGTAAAATCAAAAGCAAGTTAGTTATTCCTAAATACAATGGGATACAGGCATTGGGTAAATACCAAGTGGGAGAAATTGGCCAGAACAAAGGGGGAAAGGCCCAATGCAAGTCTGAAATCCAGTGGGGAAGTCAAATCTTGAAGTTCCGAAATGATCTCCTCTGACTCCATGTCTTACATTCAGGTCACATGGATGTAAAAGGTGGGCTCCCATGGTCCTGGGCAGATCTGCCCCCATGGCTTTGCAGGGTACAGCCCCCCCTCCTGGCTGCTTTAATGAGCTGTCATTGAGTGTCTGTTGTTTTTCCTGGTGAACAGTGTAAGCTGTCAGTGGATCTACCATTCTGGGGTCTGGAGGATGGTGGCCCTCTTCTCATAGCTCCCCTAGGCAGTGACCTAGTGAGGACTCCTTGTGAGGGCCCAACCCCACATTTCTCTTCTGTACTTCCCTAGCAGAAGTTCTCCATGAGGGCTCCACCCCTGCAGCAAACATTCCTGTAGATCTAGTCATTTCCATACATCTTCTGAAATCTAGGTGGAGGTTGCCAAACGTGTTCCTGACTTCTGTGCACCCACAGGCCCAACACCACGTGTAAGCCACCAATGCTTGGGGCTTGCACCCTCTGAAGTAATGGCCTGAGCTGTATATTGGCACCTTTTAGTCAAGGCTGGGACACAGGGCACCAAATCCTGAGACTGCACAAATCAGCAAAGCCCTGGGCCCAGTCCATGAAACCATTTTTTCTTCCTATGTCTCCTGGCCTGTGATGGGAGGGGCTGCCAATGAAGACCTCTAGCATGCCCTGGAGACATTTTCCTCATTGTCTTGGAGATTAACATTTGGCTCCTTGTTATTTATGCAAATTTCTTCAGCTGGTTTGAATTTCTCCTCAGAAAATGAGTTTTTCTTTCCTATCACATCATCAGGTTGCACATTTTTCAAAATTTTATGCTCTGCTTCTCTTTTAATCATAAGTTACAATTCCAAATCATCTCTTTGTGAATGCATAAAACTTAATGCTTTTAAGAGCACCCAATTCACCTCTTGAATGCATTGCTGCTTAGAACTTTTTCCTTCCAGACACCCTAAATCATCTCTCTCAAGTTAAAAGTTCCACAGATCTCTAGGACAGGGGCAAGATGTCACCAACCTGTTTGCTGAAGCATAGCAAGAGTCACCCTTACTACAGTTCCCAAGAAGGTCCTCATCTTCATCTGAAGTCCATCTTCATCTCAGCCTGGACTTCATTGTCCATATCACTACCAGCATTTTGGTCAAAGCCATTCAACAAGTCTCTAGGAAGTTTCAAACTTTCCCACATCAGCCTGTATTCTTCTTCTTCTGAGCCCTCCAAACTGTTCCAACCTCTGCCTGATACCCAGTTCCAAAGACACGTCCACATTTTCAAGTGTCTTTATAGCAGCATCTCACTCCTGGTACCAATTTACTGTATTAGTCATTTTCATACTTCTATAACAACTGCCCAAGACTGGGTAATTATAAAGGAGAGTTTTAATTAACTATTGGTTCAGCATGGCTTGGGAGGCCTCAGAAAACTTACAATCATATTGGAAGGCAAATGGGAAGCAAGTAATCTAACTGTTATGCATATATTAGAGTTTTGATTAATTCATGTCTTTGCCAGTATTGCTAGCCTTTGAATTTTAGCAATTCTAATATATGCATAACAGTTTTTCATTATGGTTTTGATTTGCATTTTTCTGATGACCAATGATGTTGATTTTTCTATAATCTTGAAAAATCTTGAGTAAATTATTTTCAATTTTTTAATCTTTCTCTCTAATTCTCACTCAATATTCAAGCTCCATATAAAATTTTATAAAAATAGAAAATATTCTCTACTTGTTTCAACCTATCACACTCAAGACTTTCAGGTCCATTTCAGCATTATTATTTAAATTACATTTTGAACATATCAACATATATTACCTCATAGTATTATTAGTTATTTTGTGCTTGCAGGGCTGAAATTCCCAATTAGATTACTTATAAGTATAGCTAGACATTGTAGTATATATATTGAATATATAAATTGCACATTATCCCATCATATAATAAATATTAAATTAGCATAAGGATCAATTAATAAATAAAAGTGATTTTAGATTTCTATTTCAGCTTGGGGTGGAAGGTGATATGAATATTGGGTGAGGAACATGACCTCATACTATTGTATGGTAATTTAGAAAAGTTTTATTTTTGAATCCTCAGAAAAATGTATGTTAAAGGGAAATTTTTCTATCCCCTTCCTCTTCTCTCTCCCAATTTCATGCATTGATCATATCATCTTTCCAGACATCTCTTTGCTTAGTATCTGGAAATGTTCTTTGGGGCAAAACTTAAATATATATGTGAATTCTGTTGATACATACACTTTAAATTCATCATGGACTTCTCAAAACGCTGTAAGGGATAGGTTATAAAATGAATAATGATTTTTTATTATACTTTAAGTTCTAGGGTACATGTGCACGATGTGCAGGTTTGTTATATATGTATACATGTGCCATGTTGGTGTGCTGCACCCATTAACTCATCATTTACATTAGGTATATCTCCTAATACTTTCCCTCCCCCCTCCCCCCACCCCACAACAGGCCCTGGTGTGTGATGTTCCCCTTCCATGTCCAAGTGTTCTCACTGTTCAATTCCCACCTATGAGTGAGAACATGCGGTGTTTGGTTTTTGTTCTTTTAACCTCCCACACTTGACACACCATGCCATATCTCTTTCCATCAACTGGATGAAAGATAACTTTGACGTTGGTAGCAAAGAGTCTAAATTCAAAAATGTAAACAGCTTTAGTTCTTGACTCACCTCTTGGAAGAGAGCCATTCACTGTTTAGAAATATTCTTTGTGAATTGCCTTGAGTAAGAAACACATGTCTATCATGTTTGAGCCATAACACATTTTTGAATGAATTTATTACAAAATACAGAGAGAATTTTAAGGGTGCTTTCATCTTCAATAAATAATAATTCTCTTATAAATAATCAATGTATTTAAGATCTAGGTAAGCAAGGAGCTTATTTGTCTTATATATCCAAGTATTCTCAGTCAGTGAAACACTGTCCTGAATATAGTATATGTGCAGTAAGTTTTTATCTATTGAATAAATATTACTACTTTTTAAACTATTCAGGAGGCTGAATCAGGGGAATCGCTTGAACCCGGGAGGCGGAGATTGCAGTGAGCAGAGATCACGCCACTGCATTCCATCCTGGTGACAGAGCAAGACTCCGTCTCAAAATAAATAAATAAATAAATAAGCAATGAAAATCACAGCAGAGGAAATGTATGATACTGTTAAGGCAACGGGTCTAAAATAGAGGTAGCAGGGGGATAAAAAATTGGTATACACTGGACTAAACAATAAGAACATTTTCCACTGCTTGAATGCTGGAGTGCAAGAGAAAAAGAGTTCCCATGATTATTTGGAAGATTCTATTTGAAATGCTGAGTAGGTGGTTGTGCGATTTGCAGAAAGGGTAAATTGGAAGAGGAACATCTTTGGGGGAAGATGATGAGTTTAGCTTCGGGCATAATCAGTTTGAGATAATTAAAGAAGACCAATAGGCAGCTAAAGAGGGATGTTGGGAAATCAGAAGAGTGGTTTGGACTTGAGAATATGAGGTAGGAAAAGGTAGTCTATAGATGAAACTTAAGCTATGGGAATGGATGAGATGGTTCAAAGACAGCATCTCTTGAGTAAGGCTGAAAGGCTGAGAATCAATCCCTGAGAAATCTCCATTTTCCTCTCCATCAATTGACTATGTGGATCAGTGGTTAATACTAAAGGAGATGGGCTCAAGGGGTATACTTGCTCTGAAAATGCCCTTCATTACCGTAAAGAAAGGAACCACTGCTAAGAAGCCTTGCATCCTGTGTTCATTTATAGAATGAGACTCTGAGGAAAGATGATTGCTATTAAAACAGTCACTTATCAATCCTGAAGATTATTCTCCCAAATACACTGTGTATTTTTCACTAACAATTCCTTTCATTGTCTAGCCGATTATTCATTTCAAGCTGTAACTATCTGGAAATAATGGGATTTGCTGATTAATGCCTTAAAATGAAAATCATCTCTAGAAATAGGTATGTTTTCATAACTCCAAAACTGACCAAAACCACATAAGGAGTATTTTCACCATGGTGCTGTCCATCTCAGAGGTGACTGAGCTATGAGAAAAAAAAGAAGAAAAAGTGTATGTAGAAGAAAAAGTCATCTCCACTGGGAATCCAGCCTTGCAAAGATTTATTACAGAAGAAAGTAGTTAAGTGATTCTCTTTCTTTCACCCAAACACAGGGTACCTACCTCCAGCATGAAAACTTAGATAAATGAGTGAACTTACTCAGAAGAACATGTTTAGAGATTAGGGATGTTTAAAGATCAGGGATTACAGAATTCATACAACTCACAGAAACTTTTGCTCTTCTTTTGGGAAAAGGCAGTTAATAGAAATGTCTCCTTGATCCCTGAATCACAAATACTTGTGAAAATCAATAATATTTTCCCCTAAGTCTTGAAAATTTTCAAAAAAAAGTCAATAAATATTTGCTAAGATGTCTATGATATGCCAGGTTCTATGCTTGACACTGAGGCTAAAATAATAAACAAAAATTAGGCTGGGTGCACTGCCTGTAATCCCAGCACTTTGGGAGGCAGAGGTGGGTGGGTCACCTGAGGTCAGAAGTTCGAGACCAGCCTAGCCAACATGGTAAACCCCATCTCCACGAAAAATACAAAAATTAGCCAGGCATGGTGGCAGGCACCTGTTATCCCAGCTACTCAGGAGGCTGAGGCTGGAGAATTGCTTGAACCCGGGAGGTGGAGGTTGCAGTGAGCCGAGATCGTGCCATTGCACTCTAGCGACAAGAACAAAACTCTGCCAAACGAACAAACAAACAAACAAACAAAAGAAGTGCCCAAAGTCCTCATGGAGTTATATGTATGATTTAGGATAGAAAATTTACACAAATAACCATATTAAAATAAAAAATAGAACCTCTTCCAATCTATGATAGGTGTTATGATCAGGAGGTAAGTGACATTATTTATGCCATGTATTGATGTCTTGAATACACAGCCATTAATGTCACAGCTCCCTCTTAGCTTTGTGGTATTGGGCAAGTTATCTCTGAAAAGTGGGACTAAGTTATACTAATTGTAATAATTTAATAAGGCTGTTGTGGAGAATAAATGAGAAGATACTAAGTGCTGACACACAGTAAAGACCTCCTTGAAAGCTAGCTGTTATTAGAAAAGCAAATAATCAGAAGAATGCAAGCCAGTCAGTGTCAATAAATGCTTCCATAGGGCAGTGACATCTGACTGCATCATAAAAAGTTAGGCATGGGTTGAAGAGAAGAGCATTCTGATAAGAGGAAATAGAGTGAGATGGGAAATGTGCAGACATGGAAATTAGGAAAGAGTCTGCATCAAGAGCTTAGCACTCCACTCCACAATGTTAATGCACTCCACGAGGAGGCTGGATAGGTAAGGAGGCCACAGAGAATAACATTTGTTGGTCGTGTTAAAGGCCAACACGGGAAAGCTATTGCTTTGTTTTAAATAGAGGTGTAACTTACATGCCCCCAGAATTGTCTGGCTCCAACAGTGGTGGCTCCAAAATACTTTTGTGAGAAGAGCTTATGGATGATTATCTGGTTGAGGTAGGGGAGATTCAAGAGAAGTAAAGGAATTGTTTTGAACTGTGTGTTTTTGTTTTGTTTTGTTTTAGATTCCACTATTTGATCTAGATATACGTTTACTAGGGTTGACTGAAAACACATTGTGTTTAGCTACTTTTCGGCTTCAGGGGATCAAGTCAGGTTAGGTAGTAAAAAAGACTCACAGATTGAGCTACTCCTTTAAGTCTTTCGTTTCAGTGACCTCGCAGACATCACTGCTCATTGCCTGTTGCTGTCCAGCATAAATTATCCCAGGTTCTTAGCAGGGGCACTAATTGACTCTAACAGCTTTACTGAAGGTGAGGATACTCATGAGCTGCCCTAATCCTCACATAAATTATATAGGCTGGACAGACTTTTACAGTCTTGATTTGATTATTTATAGGTTTTGTACTTTATATGGAGTTAAAGAAAAATTATATGGGTTATGATTTTTATTCCCTGGACTTTTATCCTTTACTCTGTATCATGATTCTATGTCTCTATAAAGGAATATACCAATAAAATTATTATACATGCAGGAAAAATGTATTTCTTGCTCATTCATTGGCAAGAACTGGGCTTAGCCCTTTGTAAACCCATTTCATTCTTTCAAAGACTCTATGTGGATGGTGTTTTTAATTCCTTTTTACATATAAGGAATTTGTGCCACAAAAAGGTTAAGATAATTTCCAAATGATCACTGAGCTTATGACAGACCTATCTTCACCTCAAACTTGTTCCCTTGAATACTGAGCATACTGCCAAACTACACTCAAAATGTAAATCCCTGTGTATTATTCCGAGACAATATCTGAAACTGGGCAATTTACAAAAGAAAGAGGTTTAGTGGACTTACAGTTCCACATGGCTGGGGAGGCCTTACAATCATAATAGAAGACAAGAAGGAGCAAGTCACATTTTACATGGAGGGCAACAGGCAAAGAGAGAGAGCTTGTGTAGGGAAACTCCCATTTTTAAAACCATCAGATTTCATGAGACTTATTCACTGTTACAAGAGCAGCATAGGAAAGACCTGTCCCCGTGATTCAGTTATCTCCCGCAGGGTCCCTGCCACAACACGTGGTAATTATGGGAGCTACAAGATGAGATTTGGGTGGGGACACAGAGACAAACAATATCACCCTCAAAATGTGTTTTCTCAAATAAACCAGCTGATTGCAAATGAGAATAGCCCTAACCTTAATCACTTATCTCAAATAAACACTTCCGGTCAGTGGCATATACCTCTTCTGTAGAAGAAAGTAACAAACATTCCCATTTACTGTATTTGGTGTCAACCTATAATAATTATTTTCTCCGTAATTTATGGCTGACAAATTCAGAAAGGAGAGGAATCACATTAAGTTTTATTTTAGTTTGCTAAAGAGCTTGGAAAAAGTGCACAAACCTAAAAAATTCAGGAAATTCTTTTGGCCTTTGTTCCTGGCACCCAATGCTTTGTTAGCACCTATGCCAGAAATTTTAGAAATTGACATGAGCTAACAAATTAGAAGACATCCTGAGGCATCTAGAAGACAATGCTTCATTATTTAACACTATATACACAGGGAAAAGACAGCTTAAGCATAATTAATAGCCAGTGTTTTGCTCTGAAGGGTGCAAAGCGATGACATGCCATCACACTATCTTGACTCCACAAATCTCCATTCCTCAGACATTAAGTCATATCTTGTTTCACCCTGCCCATGTGGACTTGAAATGCTATCAGTGCTTTTATGAACAGTTTTTTTGTGGAAGCCTGATGTCTGGCAATGGAGTATCTGCCATGGATTTTTCTCTATTATTTTCCCAGAAAGGAAGTTGTGTTTATTTTGTTGAGTAATTGTCATAGACCTGGGTCTGAACAACTAGATGAGAACATTACAAAGAAGCAACGCTATTTAAAATTCTGAGCTGGGACTTCATTTTATTCCCATCACAGCAGACTCTCAGTGCTAAAAGCACCAAAGTAAGCTGTACATGTCTCTACAGGATTGCAAAGGAACTAAACAGAAAGGAAGGGAAAGGGAGGGACTTTCTTAATTACATTACAATCATCATGACCTTCATTATTATTGATGAATTATCCTCTGTTGGTATGAGGAGAGAAAGAATAAGAAGAAAGTAATATGAGAGAATGAAAGATTTATTGGAAATTGATGAAATTAATCAGGTTTGAAAAAAGCACTGTTGTTTTGTTTTGTTTTTTTCTTTCACGAGAATATCTTCTCCCTTGGAAGAAGCTCTGGGAAGTCTCTGAAGTGCTCCAGAGTTCCATCTTCTCTCTGTGGAGGGAGAAAAGTGGTATTGGAATGGGCCAGCTCAGATACAAGAGCCTGCATCAGGGCTCTTAGGAGGCCTAGAAATACAAAGGGATAGGCTACAGAGAATGGTCTGTAGACTAGCCCCATGCAAGTAGACCATATTACACAAAAGAAAAGGCAAAGGAGATGACTTCCAACGAGAATCCATATATAATTTCATGCAAATATAATTATTTAGTGCATATTTAATTTTATATACACACTCAATTTATTCTTTGACAATTCCATCATCATTGTATATTCTGAAAAGTACTTAATAGGGAGATGGGGTAAGAGCAGGGTGGTAGGTACAAAAAGAGCTTATACCTTCTCTTCTAATAAATACATGGGCTTCTTAGGCTCAAGAGGGAGTGATATTGTACATTGCTCCCCAGGACCATTAAAAGATTCAGGATAAAACATCTAGGCTCTTTAAATGAACTACAGTAATGATCTACCACCTACATAGAATTAGAGATGAGCTGTGGTCAGCAGGGAGTACTGAGAGAACAGGTACAAGGGACACAAAAACGTAGACAGAAGAGACATAAGCTAGAGCCATGCATAAAGGAATGGAGTCTGAGGCTAAAATGATAGGAACCCTATTATCAACTGACAAGACAAGTGAAGAAAATCATAACTGAATTCAAGATACAGGGCCTATTTGGACATTAGGTTGAATCATTCCACCTTACCTTAGTGCAAACCCATCTTTGAGGCAAGTTGAGGGTCTTCTTCACAGAGATGCTTGATAAATTTGCAGCAAGACTTGGGTCCTTTTCCAGTAACAAGGTCAATCAAGACTCGAGCCTTATCCATGACAGTGTCATTTTCATCTCTCACTTTGTTCATGTCTTCCTGGCTAATAACTTCATCCTCTAATAGGCAATCCAGCAAGGCATTTATTGTGCCTGCACCCACTGAATGGATAAAAATTCTTCTCTTTTTACGCAAGAGTTGGTCTGTTGGAAGCACAAAGATTCCTCAAATAATGAACATGACACAATTTCCCTCTCAATTTACCAACAGGGTAACAATCATTTAAACATTTCTCTCCACAAGTACAGTAATCCCAAGGAACGGTCTTATACCTTTGCATTTACTCCACGTACTTCCTTCTGATTCTAGCATTACCTACATATGCTCACTGAGTGACCTGGGAAACTTGACTTCATGATTTTTCTGTGAATCTCCTAAAAATCAGAAGTCATTCTATTCTGACACATCCCAGTTTCTTGAATTTTGAAGGGAATTGACAGTTTCATGAATTTTGAAGGGAATTGACTGTTTCCTTTGAGAACAACAGCTACTGATACCCATCCTGTGCCCATTCTCATCCTGAACTACATAACTCTTCAAATGTGGACAACACTAGCAAAATTATAGCAGATACCAGTAGGATCCCAGATTCTTCCTGGCCTTTATCTGTTCCTTCAAAAACGCTGTGCAAGTCTGGGCATCTTCCCACCCTGCCTCTCCCTTCTTCTTTCTCTCTCCACCCCAAGGCTGCCCACACAAACCTTCACAAAGCCTAATGAGAAAGGCAGTCCTTTCCCAAACTAATTCCTCCCTAAGACCTATCCTCTTACTGGGGAAGACTCACCAGCCATGGCTCCTCACGTTGGCACTTGCAATGTGTGTTACACTTGCAATGACAGGCAAGGTAGCTCTATCCTTTTAGGCAGGGCGTGTACACAGATCAATGAACAATACTTACACCTACACATGTGTATTTATAATTATTGCCCAAGAAGCTGTTAACTATTGTCATTTCCCAAGGTATTTTTACACAATTGAATCTCAGATTGTAGCATGAACTGTGCCCATAAGAAAATTGCTTTACCATTCCTTGGTGGGTGAGAAACAAGAATAGGAGAGAATTGAGAAGGCACACACAGAGCTAAACACATGCAGTAAACAATCTTTAATTCACTGAGATTTAAATGGAAAGTAAAATCACAGTATAGGGTAGTTGTGCCACCTAAATCAAGTACTAAGAGTTCCTTTTTTAAATTGTGGTAAAATACACATAATATAAAATTTACCATCTTAGCCATTTTACAGTATCCAGTTCAGTGGCATTAAGTACATTCACATTGCTGTGTAGCCATCAATATCATCCAACTGTAGTTGTTTTCATTTTGGGAAATTGAAACTCTATACTCCTTAAACAGTAACTCTCTATCCTTTCCTTCCATCAGTCCCTGGCAACTAACATTGTACTTTCTGTCTTTATGAATTTGACTTCTCTAGGTATCTCATGTAAGTAGAATTATACAGTATTCATTTTTTGATGCCTGACTTATTTCACTTAGTGTAATGTCCTCGGTGTTTATTCATGTTGTGGCATGGGTCACAATTTCCTTTCTTTCTGAAGTTGAATAATACTCCATTCTATGTATGTACCACATTTTAGTTTACCCATTCTTCATTGAGCACAAATTTCTTCCCTTTTGCTATTGTAAATAACACTGCTATGAACATGGTATACAAATATGTTTTTGAGATTCTGCTGTCAATTATTTGAATATATACCCAGAAGTGGAACTGACAAATCATAGAGTAATTCTATTTCATTTTGTTTTGTGAAATCGGTATGCTGTTTTCCATAGCAGCTGCACTGTATTACATTCCCACATATAAAGCAGAAGCGTTCCAGTTTTTCCATGTCCTCACCAATACATATTATTTTTCTGTTCTTTTGATAATAGCCATCCTAATGGGTGTGAGATGGACTAAGACTTCTTACCTTCCTTTCATTGTTTTTTACCTAAGCTCTAGGCAGTCTCCAGACGCAGAAATGGTGTATGAAGCAGTTTTGCTATTTGGAATAAAAGTGCTTTGTTACGTAAGGCTCTTTTTCTTCAGATGGCACCATTTTAAGTAACACTGTATTACAAAGATTAAGGGCACAGACTCTGAAGCCAGAATGGTTGGATCCATATTTTAACTGCTGATCTTAGGAAAGGAAATTAACCAAGCTTTAGTCTTCCCATCTGCCAGATAGGTTTGATGATAATTCCTACCTTGCAGTTTTATTGCAAGTATTTAATGAACAAATATAAGTCATTAAAATAGCCCCTGGCATAAAGGAAGCACCTCAATTATTATATATGTCCATGTAAAATCCCCTATTCATCTCATCAATTCATTCAACATAAATATTCAGCATAGTTATTTACTGAGACCCAAGTCTATGTGCCATACATTATTATAGATGCTGGGGATGTAGTAATGACCAAAAACAGACAAAAATTCCTACCCTATTAGAAGTTGTATGATAGTAGGAGAGACACATATACTCATTAAATGTATA
The DNA here is from genome assembly GCF_000001405.40 of Homo sapiens. Lineage (NCBI taxonomy): Eukaryota > Metazoa > Chordata > Mammalia > Primates > Hominidae > Homo > Homo sapiens. Next base: position 105,141,433 of record NC_000011.10, read on the forward strand.
CAAAATATTTTAAGAGTTCTTTAAAGAAAAATATTCTCAGAAGATTGGGGGAATCACATCTTTGGTAAAATATTTGTATTAGCTTATATATGTGACATAATTTGATAAATATTTAAAATCTGGGCAAGGTGCTACAGCTTATGTGCCCATGGGCCCAGGAATACACCAAATGAGGTGAATTGGAGAGGGGAGGCTGTGCCTATCTGGTAAGGGTAGTCCTCTCTGAAGGGGCAGGGCTCCTCAGACCCAACTAATTTTGGCTAAGAGAATGAAAATTCAGTTTACTTTTTCATTTTAAGGGTACTTTATCTCTAATTTTAAAAATACTTTCAGTTGGTTTACTATTGTTTTAAAACACTGTGAAAATTAAACAAAGCTTGCCTGTGGTTCACATTTTACCTGAAGTCTGCCAATTTGCTTTCTGCTTTCTTGGCAAATAATTGCATTTATTTTCTTGGGAATAGACATTTCTATCTTGGTAGTATATAGTCAAACATTGTGGAGATTTTAATCTTTGACTTCTTTGACTTTTTTTTCTTTTTCTCCCTACTTTTCCAATCTAGCTTATAGCAGGCTCTGTGTCCTCTTGCTTTAGGGAATATTTATGGCAGGATAGAAATTAGAGATGGTCTGAATGAAACTGGGATCTGGAACAAGAAGAAGACAAATCACAGAAAGAATGGAACATCACTGTGGAAATCACAGAGAGAAGAATATTATCCTGGTTCTCCACCAGCCAGGAAAGCACACCATTCTATGGAAGTACAGGAGATGGTGCCTGACAATAGCTGGTGGCCAACTGATACCTCTAGAAAGCAAAACTGTAAGCACGAGGATTCCCAAACTCACATATGCTTCCCAGATCTCTCAAAGCTAAGCAGAGAACTCTTAGATATGCCACTCTATTGCTGACTTCAAAATGAAAGTGCCCATGATTATAATGTTTGAATGGAAAAGGCAGGATTTCCTTTTCCTGTTTTTCTGGAAAACACTCAAGTATGTGTAAGCCTGGTAAGACTACAAGAAGAGAATAGAGACCTCATAATAACTAAAAGTGGAATTATCTACTACCCTATTTGTAAAGGCACTTACTCCAGAATATAATTTGAATTGAGATATAATTATCATAAAATAAATAAATTACATGATAAGCAACAGGTAGTGTTTTAAAGGATGAGTGATGACTTGAAAATTTAGATCTAGGCTCGTTTCAGATTTCTGGAATTTTATTTGCACTAGCAATTCAGATTTGTCATTAGGAAAAGAGTATTTGTTACTTTTGTGGGAGTAGGGAGCAGTTATGACATGAAAGCATAAGTTATCTAGTTGCCACCTTTACTTATGTCATTTATAACTCTTTGAAGATACTCAATGTTCCATCTTTCATTCCTCTGTTCTTGGGTATAAACATTCTGGAACATATCTAGTGACTATACATTAGTGGGAGCACAAATCAAATGTAAGATTTTTTTTTTCAGAAGCCTTCCCCTCTTCCCAGATTTGGAGTCAAATCACCCATTCAAGTGTACTTTGTTAGTTGCATGAGATGATGAATGACTTAGTTAAAACTATCTAAGCCTCAGTTTCCCCATTCAGACACTTCCCGCATCTATATCATTACTATTCCTAGATTTATTATGACTATTTAAGATAATGTATATAAAATCATTGCCTGGCCATATCTAAAAGAGGCTGCTCTTAAATTAGCAATAGTCTTGAAGGAAGAAGGTACCCTGGTACCTTATATTTCTTTATAAAATGCTTACAGATTTCTCTATAGTAGACAAGATGAAATATATGTCCATTTTATGAAAAATACTAATTACCAGAGGTTCAGAGATGCACCTGGCACAAGGGGCCTCTCACTCAATCCTAGGCTCTGTGTGATATGCTACATGTTCCTCATCCTAGCACTGTGGTTGATTACATGAAGAAAATCAGCTGGTAAAATAGGACTCAGTGCCTGCCCTTGAGGAATTTAAAATAATTTGGCACTGATAAGGCATAAACACAGGAAAATATTGTATGACAATACAGGAGAAAATGGACTAAGATGCTATGAGGTATCAGAGATGGGAGAATTAAATATAATCTGAAGCAATCAGGAAGATTTTACATAGGTAACATAAAATCTTCCCAGAATCTGCAGGATAAAAACGTTTAAATAAGCACTGAAAGAGGTTGCTAATTTGCTGATAGCTTGCCCTCTTCTAGGTAATATAGTAGGCTGTTTAACCAGCCAGACAACACTAGAAAAACAGCATTTGCATCCTAGCTTTGCAGATGAGGAAATTGACACTTCCAGAAAATGAACCTCTTACTCAAGATAATGAAGTCAAGGGGTGTGAAAAATGTGATTTGATTACTTAAGTTGAAAGACCACAACGGTGTATCTGTACAAAGTAGAGCTGAGAGACCTGGACAATTCAGACACTGAGAATAATAGGAACAAAATTAAGAGGAGCAAATCATGGGAATGAAGGAAAGGACATAAAGCCTTTTTATTTATTTATTTTAGATTCAGGGGGTGTATGTGCTTGTTTGTTACATGAGTATTACATGGGTAATGGTGGAGATTGAGCTTCTAATGTATCACCCTAATAGTAAACATTGTACCTAACAGGTAATTTTTCAACCCTCCCACCCTTTCCTATTTTAGAATCCCCAGAATCTATTTTCTCCATCTTTATATCCAAGTGTCCCCATTGTTTAGCTCCCAACCTCTATAGAAAACTCAAATAACTGAAAATAGAACTCTATAGATATCCCAAAGAACTAAAAATAGAATGACCATTTCACCCAGCAATTTCACTACTCGGTATCTACTCAAAAGAAATGAAATCATTATATTAAAAAGACACTTGCACATATATGTTTATCCCTGCACTACTTACAATAGCAACCTAAGTACCCACCAACAGTTGATTGAATAAAAAAGTGATATATATATATATATATATATATATATATATATATATATGAATACTAAATGCTATACAACCATAAAAAAGCATAAAGTCCAGTTCTTTGCAGTAACATCGACGGTCATTATCTTATTATCTTCAGTGAAGTAACTCAGACACAGGAAGTCAAATACCATGTGTTCTCACTTATAAATGGGACCTAAACAATGGGTACCATCGACATACAGAGTGGTGTAATAGACAGTGGAGACTCCAAAAGGTGACAGAATGGATGAGGTTTGAAAAAAAATACTTATTGGATACAATTTCACTATTCAGGTGCTGGGTGCACTAAAACCCCAACTTCACCACATTGCAGTATATTCATGTAAGAAATATCAGTTGTACCCCTAAGTATATAAAAGTAAAAATAAAAAAATTAAAAATAAAAATCCTATGTTTAGATGATTGGTGGTGTAGATATGAGGGGAAAGAATTTAGCTGGATTACTAGTTAATGTAATAGTTAAAGTTTATTTTAGAATAAAATTTTGAAACATGTGGTTACATGTAAGCAAACTAAAATATATCTATGGCACAAGATAATAAATACTACTGGTGTAAATAGAGTGAATTTCTGACTCTAAACTTCTTATGCATATTTGGAAGGATTTTGAGCAGAGAAAATTTAATTTGTTAGCTTAAGTACTTGAAAGAGTGACTCATCTAAATTCCTATGCATGAAATGTCATTGCCTATGAGTTGCATTGCTCAGTGTTTGAATGTGGTACAATAAGAGTACTGTCAATTTAAGTGTAGGCTAAACCCTCGTGTACCTCATGCTAATAACAGATCGATCCAAGTTAAAGTAGATGCATATAAGTCACTCAAATAACTGGTTTCACCATAGTTAATACTATTTTCTAAATGACAGTCATCTGTAATGATGAATAACCTGCTCATGTGCTTTCTTGGGTTAGTACATGTAAATTAATAGCTTCTTGAAAGTTGCTATACCAACAGTATTTAAATCCTTACCTCTTGCATTATAGAAACTATACTTTGATTTGCTTACCTTTTTTTATCTCTAATTCACTTTATTGTGATATAATTTACATGCGCTTATGTAAACCCATTTTTTGTGTAAAGTTCAAAGTGCTTTGCTAAACGTGCACATTGCCAAAGTCTACTTATAGAATATTTACGTTATCTTAATAAGTCCAATTTCAGTCAGTTATAGAAAACCTAAGGTCAAGGAAACCACTGATGTGATTACTAACTATCACCAGGGATTAGCTTTGCTTGTTCTTTATTTTCATATAAATGGGATCATACGGTATGTACTGTGGGTGTAAGTTTCTCCTCAACTCTGAGTCTACCAGGTTCTACCTTGCTTCTGCGTCTCTGTGCTGTGCCCTGTAATCCCCCTCAAGATAATTACAGGGCTCACTCATGTTTATTTTCCAGGGATCAGTATTCCTCATTGTTAAGCAAATTGGAAGCTGCTGCTTCATATATTTTGTCTGTTTTTGTTTGTTTTAGACAAGAGTGTAAATCCAGTCTCTATTAAGCCATGTTGACAGAAAGTAGACGTCTCACGTCCTTAATTTTAACTATAAATTTTCACCTCGGGTTTCATGTACTACAGCCTAACTTTAGAGACATTCCTTCTTTCCATTCTCATAAAGACCTCTTCCTCTCAGTCCTCTGAAATTTCAGTCTCAAGGTTTTGTTCCATAAAACCTTATTTCAGATTCTTCTTTCACTCACTTGCCACTTCCTTCCTTATCTCTTCCATTGGCCAGTAAATATTTCTGTTTTTACGCCAATCAAAAATAGACACAATTTACCCTATTTCATCAAACTTTGACTTTATGAACAAACACATCTAACATAGAATTTCTTCTGTGTTCTGTTTTACAGAACCCTGTTATTCTTTTCCCTAGAATTTGGAGATAACCTATTTTTGAGTACTGCACTTTGTACCATCTATAATTGCTGCTGGAATTTTAGTTATAAAAGCAGGGACTGGCCGGGCACAGTGGCTCATGCCTGTAATCCTAGCACTTTGGGAGGCCAAGGTGGGTGGATTGTCTGAGCTCAGGAGTTCGTGACCAGCCTGGACAACACGGTGAAACCCCGTCTCTACTAAAATACAAAAAATCAGCCCGGCGTGGCAGTGTGCACCTGTAGTCCCAGCTACTCAGGAGGCTGAGGCAGGAGAATTGCTTGAACTTGGGAGGCAGAGCTTGCAGTGAGCTGAGATCGCACCACGGCACTCCAGCCTGGACGACAGAGCAAGACTCTGTCTCCAAAAAAAACCAAATAAAATAAAAAAAGCCAGGACTGTGTCTGTTCATTTTTACTACATTATCTGGATCAGAACGTTTCAGTTCTTGTTTATACAGGAACTCAGTAAATATTTATCAAAAAATTTTTACACCAAATGTTTTCCACAATCTAAATATATAATCGACTATTATTCCACATCACAGGTTATCTTCACAGTTTATTTTTTTCTCTATGAGGAAAAAATATTTGTATCTCTTTTATCTCTCAGATTTTTAATATTTCAATACATATATTCAGCATGTATTGACTTTCTTTGCTATCAGAACTTAGTGTTTGGGTATAATTAAAAAGCAAAACATAGCACAATGTGAATAATTTACATAAAATATGTTTGTGTATCATTTGTGTAAAATATGTAGGTGGCTTATCATATACATTTGTTTTGGCTTGTATGAATAAATAAATGAATGTAACATATAATATGGGTCTTACAAATATTTCCACAAGGTAACAACAACAAGAATATATTTGGAGTTACTTTATGAGTTGTGTGATGAAGAGCGATCCATGTGCACTTCTCCAGAAAATGTTATTTTTGAATAAAGGAAATAATAAATCCTAAATAAAGAAAATAATAAATGCTTTATCCTTTTTTTAAAAAAAAGTCGAAGATTGTAAATAACAAATTAAATCAAGTAGGAAAAATAAAGGCTCAAATTTCTTTGTCCATATAAAAAGAGTAACATGATGGGCTTAGATTATTATAAAAGACACATGCAAAGGTTGTAGCATCACGGGTGAAGGAATAGGGCTCTAGAATCATAGTTCTGTAATTCAGAAGGCAAAACTATTATTTTATATTTGATACTATGTCATGTTTCCTAGAAAATATTATTTTATTTGATCTTCAAAATTTACTCAAGGCAGAACAGCTGCAAAGTGATACAGTAGCAACTGAACCCACATTTGTGCTGAAGATTCTTCTATACCTTCCTACAGATGCCCTTTTCTGATAACAGACCAGCCAGTAGGTAACACTGAGGATGCTTTACCTCAGTTAACATTGACTGGTCCATTTCCCATAGCAGTCATGGACAGAGACTACATTTGCTAAGGCACATTGGGGCTAAATATTAAATATGTCTACATGTCTAGACAAAATAATTAAATAAATAATATATTAAATAAGAATAAGGTTTTGCTTGAGCATTTTAGAAATTCTGTCTGCTCTGCCCAGGCCTTGAACACCACTTGAAATACTCTACTCTCTACTATACTATCTCCTTTTAAAAATTATATTACCTTAAATAAGATGATTTGGGGAATTGGTCTTTTATATATAGTGCTATGTATATATATATTTCAATTTTTTACCCATTTAATACATATGATACTTGTATGATGTGGATAATATTATTAATCTCATTTTACAGATAAGAAAAATGAAGCACAGAGCTTGAACACCTTCCCAATGTCACAAAGCAAGGAAGTGGCAGAGCCAGAATTCAAATCCAGGTGGCCCAGCTGCAGAATCTGGTTCTTCATCATTATTCCAGACCGTCTCTCAGAACCTGGTTGTAGAAAAGATGACAGGTGTCCGGCAAATTAAACTCTTACTAGAGCTTGATACAGTCTATTGATCGTTAGCGTTAGCTTAGTGTTATTATCTTATACAGCCCTGAAAACAGGTTCTGTGCCACATGTTTCCTTTTGTATTTTTTATACTGCACCCTCACAAGTGAGCTAGATAGCAAAGGCAAGTAATAGCTTCTTCACCTCATGAATAATGAGCCTGCATACTTGCCAAGAGATGAGATGAATCAGAATGAGAGTCCAGTTTTTCTCATCCCTAGGCCAGCTCTCTCTAGTATCACAAGCCATCTTTCTTGTGAGCATTGCGCCAAGTCTTCTGAGAAGACAAGAAAGGTAATATTGACGGGAGAGGGAGGTCTGCTTTCAAAACGCTAAGTGTAGACTGAAGGACAAAAGCATAAACACAGGGGAAAATATATGACAACAAAAGAGAAGTCGAAAATCCTCTAAAGGGCAAGACAAGCTAAGAGTGCTATAAATGGACTTTAGAAAAACATGGATTTAAAAGTGCTCAGGGATTTAAAGAATGACAGGGTTTTGAACACACAAATGAAGAACAAAGGGGACTATATTTAAGGAGAGCCTACTGTGTGCCAGGCATTGTGGTGAGTGCTTTATGTACAATGGGCATTGTTCACTCAGCACCACAGTGAAGAAGATGTTAGTGCTATATTCCCATTTTACAGATGGCAAACTGGCCTCACCCACATTAAAACTCCTGCATGAGGTCACATTGTTAATCTCCAGTGGATATCAAACTTAAGTTCACTCTTCCAATTGCAAAACCCAAGCTATTTCATGTGCAAATACAAGAGACGGAAAGACATTTCATGCCTATAGAATGGCATAAAAATTGAAAGCACAGAAATCGGAATGCAAACCATAAAAACAAAATTATCTAGATAAATTGGTTTCTTTACAAGGCACTTATCACTAACTGATACTTTCTTTCATTTATTTATTTGTTATCTATCTAGTTCTACAAAATGGGCTTCTAGAAATAACAACTTGTCCATCTTCTTTGCTTCAATACCCACATCACCTAAAACAATGGTCACATCACATTAAACAAATGTCATCAGTATATATTGTAAAATATAAATGATTTAGAGTGAAAGGAAGAATATATATCAAATACAGCAAATGTATAAATGAAAATTAATTTAGAAAAATATTTGATAATATAGGACAATCAGTTTAAAATGTGAAATTAAATGGAGATAAATGTCAAAGAATATGAATTACTGAGTTAATCATAACACATTTCTTCATTTATTTTCATCCATTAAATACTTATTTATTGAGTATCTAATAAATATCAGGTAACTGAATTAGAATATAAGGATTTATTAGTAAAACAAAAATACAGTATTAACCTTGTCCATAAGGACTTTTGCTGACTAATAGAGAATGTGGCCATGTGAGTTAGTAATTAAACCACAATTGAAGTTACAAAATTAAAGTCTGCATGGCTGGGAGGTAATGCATGTAATCCATTGCTCCTCTACTAGATGAACAGGTCTGGCAATAGCTTATTTCAGAGAACAAAAGCCTCAGGTTATTTCATTCTTTCATAAGTTTAATGTGGACCAGAACAATTTTAGATTGTATACATCTTAATTCACTCAAAAATATTTATTTTGACACTACTAATTACATATTATACTCAGTGAGAATAGTATAAGTCAATAAGAACATAGAGTCTTGACTTCATAAAGCTTACATTCCAGTAGAGAAGAGGGACTTAATAAGTCCACAGACCAATAAATAAAATACTTGCAAGTCATAATGCATACCATGAAGAACACATATGTGGACAGGTGGGTTAATTTACTACTGCTTTTATAACACATTATCACAAATGTAGTGACTTGACACAACACAAATTTATTAGCTTATAGTTTTGGAAGTCAGAGTCTGAAATGGGTTTCACTGGGCTCATATGAAGGTGTTGGCAGGGCTGTGTTACTTCTGGAGGCTCTAGGGGACAATTCTTTCTCTTACATTTCCTGGTTTTTAGAGGCTACCCAAATTTTTTAGCTCATGGCTCTGTGTCATCCTGATCTATGCTTCTGTTTTCACATCTTCTTCTTTACTCTTTTGCTGCCATCCTTCCCTTATAAAGACTGTTGGGATTAAATTCAGTGCATCTGGATGATGCAGGGTATTCTCTCTATCTCAAGAGATTTCATCATATCTGCAGTTTCTTTTGCCATGTAAGGTAATGTATTCACAGGTGCAGGTAATTAGGACATGGACAGGTCTGAGAGTCCATTATTCTGCCTACCATGGAGGTAATGTTGAGAAACAAGGCACTTGGGGCAGCAGAATTTCCATAAGAAAGTTCTCACTGAGTTGGTGATGCTATGTATTCTATAAAACAATTAAAGGGAAAACACCATTTCACTAATTCTGGGACTACCTAAATCATATCTAGAACATTTTCTTTTATTTTTGGATGTCAATTTTAAATAATTTTTGGCAAACTACAGAATATACAATTTTCAAATCTGAAAAATGAAGACATAAGGAAATTGCAATATGTGATAGAATAAGGTGACTTTGAGCCCATTTTAGAGTGGATTATAAGTTTAAAAGTATGTAATTATGTTATGATTATTGTCATCATTATTTTCAGCATGGAAGAAAAGAACTGCCTACATAAATTCAAATATAGTAAGTAATAGTGTTGGAATCTTAAATACGATGCGAAAATACAATTGCAAATTCATAATACCTCCAGTTTTAACAAAATATATATTTCCTATCTTTGTGAAAAAGGCCTAGAGTTATAACAGTCTAGTAGCAATAATCACCTCTAGTTTCCAATATAATTTCTAAAAACTATTTACCACTAAAGAAGGTAAGGGCTTCTTGGAGAAGTAGCTGATCCAAGGCAGGGGTCAGAAAATTTATGACATAAAGGTAGAATGTTTTCTTGAACCAGAAAGCAAGGAAGCTCTCATGGGTCATGCTATAGAGGCAAAAGAGCCAAAGTGAAGGACTTCCACTGAGCAAGATGGGGAAATTTTAACTTCAGAAAGAATGTCTTTAAATGATTATTAAAACACATAGGGTATATTAAAAGCAGTGAGTATGAACTAAGTTTCTTAGAGAGTATGAGAAACAAAACAAAACTCTTGAGAACCAGTAAAAGTTGCCAGGGCACCAATTAATTGATAATTAAAGTGAAATAATTAAGTCTTTATCTCGATCTTTTCATGTGAATTATATTTCTGAATTTGATAATTAAAGTGAAATGATTAAGTCTTTATCTTGATCTTCTCATGTGAATTGTGTTTCAGGCTAACAAAATTAGGAGCTAGTACATAAGGGAAAAATTCTTGTATTAAGAAGTCTAGTTAATTAATAAATGGATAAAAAATTAGAAAAAAACTATAATCTCACAGGTTGTAATGACAGATATGATCATGACAATGGCAATCAGTGAGTGGTAAAATCATTAGTAAAGGTTGACCAGGACCTTTATAAAGAAAGGATCAAGCTGAACCCACAGATTATTTCTTGTATCATTAAAGCTGAGACATTTCAGGTGTTATGTACCTTCTAGTATTCTACAGTATGAAGTAATCAGCATCACCTAAGAAGTAGTCTTGCAAAATAAAATTAGCCTGAATCTAATCACAATTTTAGAAGTAACTTTCAGGCCAGGCGCGGTGGCTCACACCTGTAATCCCAACACTCTGGGAGGCCAAGTCAGGTGGATCACCTGAAGCCAGGAATTCGAGACCAGCATGTCTCGATACAGTAAGCCAAGATAAATATATTACAAAGACAGAAAAGTATTTTTTAATAAATTTGGTATTGTCTAAGTGTATGTTTATAAAGTTTGTAGTAGTTTACGGTAATGTCCTAGGACTTCACATTCACTCATTACTCATTCTCTCACTGACTCACACAGAGCAACTTCCCGTCCTGAAAAGTTCATTTATCGTAAGTACCCTGTAAAGATGTACCATTTTTTATCTTTTATACCATGTTTTACTGTACGTTTTATATGTTTAGATACACAAACACTTACCATTGTGTTATAGTTAACTGCAGCATTCAATACAGTAACATGCTATACAGGTTTATGGCCTAGGAGCAATAGGCGATACTGTACAATGTAGGTGTGTAGTAGGCTATGCACTCCATAATACTTGCACAATAATGAAATTGCCTAATGACACATTTCTCAAACATATCCCTGTCATTAAGTGATGCATGGCTTTGTAAAGGAACGATTGAATAAATAAATAAATGACAGAAAAGTTCAATGCCCCTTTTAGAAAAACACAAATAGTATATGTAATTAGTCCTTTCTCAGCACACTTCTCCTTTGTGTTCTCTTTCCTCAAAATTCACAATCTAAATATGAGGAAGCATCAGACAAACTTTGATGAGAGACATTCTACAAAAATCCTCTTCTAAAATGTCAAGGTCATAAAAATCAAGGAGATACAGAAAAACTGTCACAGACCAAAGACTGAGATATGACAACAAGGGGCAGTGTGGCATCCTGGATTGGGAGTGGACACTGATAAATCACGTGGTGCTGAGGGTAGCATGACTCAAATTCTAAATCTGGTTTCATGATATCCATCACTCTTTGAGAGAGAACGGAGAGCACCCAAGCAGATGTTCAAATAGAGATACGTAAAACATAGTGACACAATTAAATCTTTGATGACGGTGTCCTCCTTAAGTTTAATTTCATGGGTTGTAAATAACGTATATCTAGAAACTTTGCCCAACATTCCAATAAATCCAAATTTAGTTCTTTCTCTCTTTTCATAGTTTTATTTTTTATAATTATTATTCTGACATAGGGCTCTAGGGCATTAATGTGGCCACATGCACCAGTGGTTTAAGAAAGTGACTGTCTTGAGAATGAAGCTTCCTTCTGTTCCTTCAATGAGCCCAGAGGACCAAGGAAAAGTGTAGAAGTTCAGAAAGCATAGCCTACTCACGTCATTTCTGCATAAAGGCTCCTAATTTTCTCATTCCACTTGTAAGATTTAAACTAAAAATCTATGCAGCTCCATTTAAAAACATGTTTACAAATGCCAATACTTTCTGTTTCTTAAATCAAAATCAGCTTGTTTAATACCACATTCCAAAATAAGAGTTTTATCTCATCTTCCATCCCCTGATTCTGATTTTTTTTACCTTTTTTTTGGGAGGGGGACAAATTCTTACTGCGTGTTTGGAATAATGCAGTCTACATTGTTGCCATAACTGGCTTGCTTCAACTATCCCCTGTCTCTAAGCATATTTGACTTCATACTCTTTGACCTAGGGCGTTCTCCTACTGAGTTTGGTATGAAGATCACAATTGAAATTCGATTCCCCTGATTTCCCACACTCCACTGGGTCATGTGATTAGATATAGCAATCAACTTTCCTTGCAAAAGCAGGCAGAAATGTACATCTGTCTGTTTTGAAAACCCCCGTGGACCTCCAGACGTGTGTACATCTTGAGGAATTAAATATTCATATTAGGCCGGCGCGGTGGCTCAGGCCTGTAATCCCAGCACTTTGGGAGGCCGAGGTGGGCGGATCACGAGGTCAGGAGACCGAGACCATCTTGGCTAACACGGTGAAAAACCCTGTCTCTACTAAAAATACAAAAAATTAGCCGGGCATGGTGGTGGGCGCCTGTAGTCCCAGCTACTCAGGAGACTGAGGCAGGAGAATGGCGTGAACCCAGGAGACAGAGCTTGCAGTGAGAGGAGATCGCGCCACTGCACTCCAGCCTGGGTGACAGAGTAAGACTCCGTCTCAAAAAAATAAAATAAAATAAATTATTGATATTAGAACAATCAGCTACCTACTGTTTTTACTTTTTACTTTATTTTATTTTATTTATTTATTTATTTATTTATTTATTTATTTATTTATTTATTTATTGAGACAGAGTCTCACTCTGTCGCCCAGGCTGGAGTGCAGTGGTGCAATCTCGGTTCACTGCAACCTCCGCCTCCCGGGTTAAAGCGATTCTCCAGCCTCAGCCTCCCAAGTAGCTGGGATTACAGGTGCCTGCCACCATGCATGATTATGTTTGGTGAGGAATAGTGTTAGAGACAAAATTTTTGCTGCTTCCAATTTATTTAGACGCTTATATAGATACATCTTGTAATTTTTACACGAATATGTACAGTGAAGCAGGGTGATTAGCCAATCCTGAAACATTTTTTTCTTCCCTCAAAGGGGCCATGAGTTAATGTCTGTGTCTCCAATTTAATTCTGTTTTGTTTGATCTTGTTCTAATATGAATGAAAGCTCGTTAACCAATTTCTACTATTTTCTGCTCTACTAGATCTATCAAGTTACACATGGTCATATCAATCCATAATCTTAGAGTATCCCTCAGACTTAGGATTACTTATTTAATCATTTACTTTTCCACTTATGTGCTTATTTATCATTTTATGTCTGAAATTAGCATCTCAGAAACGGCCCCAAATTGTAGAAGTATAGGTGATATTTTTTCCTGGTGTTAACCTAAACGTTAATTGCTTAAAAATAAAAAAAAAAAAACAACACTTCCCCAAGTTAAAAAAAAAAAAAAGTCTTTCATAAACTGAAACCACTTGAAATATTACAGCAATTATCACTGGGCTAGGTCAAAGCAATGGCTATGATGAAAACAACCAAATAAGAGCCTGTGAGATTTCATTGAAAACATCCTTTTAAATTTTCACGGGCATGAGTATTGCTCTGTCTTTTTAGCTATTTAGCTTGAATATTTCACTTCACTTTAGCTAATCGAGTAAATGTAGCTGTTTATTATTTTAGTCTTTTAAGAGTTTGACATTTACAAAATCTAGTTAAGAATGACATGATGTACAACCACAGTAATAATAATTGCCGAATCTTTTCAGACTTTAATAAAAAGTTTAAGTGGATCAATTATTGCAGTCTCAATGTTTCACAGTCTTCCAACTCATAGAAGCCAGCATTATCTGCGGATTATGATATGTTCTGATGAGGAAGCCAGTATGCCTTGGTCTCTGCCCATGCCTGTGCTACAGCAGTGATCAGTGAACCTCCGGGGTTCAATTGATTCTCCTGCTTCAGCCTCCTAAGTAGCTGGGATTACAGGCATGCACCACCATGCCCAGCTAATTTTGTATTTTTAGTAGAGATGGAATGTCACCATGTTGGTCAGGTTGGTCTCGAAATCCTGACCTCAGGTGATCCACCCACCTTGGCCTCCCAAAGTGCTGGGATTACATGCATGAGCCACTGTGCATGTGTCTAGGTTGTGTCTAGGCTTTCTGTGCACCGTTTAGTCTGAGTCGGGGCTTGAACCCCTTGACCTACCATCTACTCTTTTTTTTTTTAATTTTTCAGATCCAAAAACCTTGGTACCACATTAAATAACTTTGACACTTTGGAAATATACACATGTAACTGAGTATTGTGTTGGCGTAACACATTTGAGAAATTTAAGCCTTGGCCAAAAGGTAAACCCTTACTTTTTCAACTCCCTTTAGAGATTACTGGGCTCCCCCGACTGGGCTAACAAAATAAGAAGGTAAGGAATTGTGCTTGAGCTCCTTTGTGTTGGCTTGGCTCTCTGAGTCTATCCAGCAGGATCAAGCAGGGGAGGTAGGAAAGCAGTGGTCAGACTCTGCCGAAAGACTGATAAAATTCCTTCAGAAACAGTTCTCAGGTTTCCCTCCGAGCAGCTCCCTCTACCTTCCATTGACTTCCAACACTTCTTCCAGAATGAAGCAGTAGTTGGGGGCATTTGTCTTCCTTCCTGTTCCTCGGCAAAGACAATCAGCAGCATCGGAATCATAGAAAGGGGAGAGGATCCTGGAGAGAGATTGAACACGAGCACTAGATACAAGAGGCTCATGAATTGGGTCAGAACTCACTGGAAGTAGGGGTCTATGCAGAGGAGGTTAGGTGTGGTACATCTGTGTGGAGTTTTACCCTGGATCCTCTTATCCTGTGGTTTTGCCCAGGCCAGTCTCCTCAGGTATCCTGTCAAGAGGTGAGAGGGAAGTTGAACTCTTGTTACATCACTGCCATTATCTACTCAAGCTTACATCATCATGTAGGGAGACTTTAAGCTGGTAAACGAGATGTTTGTGTTGGAGGCAATAATGCCAGCCTGTGGAGGGGACAGGCTTTACCAAAGAGCTAATGAAAGAGCTATTGTTCAGGCCCACCTGGCCTTGGCTCTGCTTTCTCCTCCAGAAGAAATCTTGATTGAAGCACCAGCAAGTATGTTTCTTGCCTTTGTCATTGTTTCCTGGGTATGCATCTCATTTGGCAATCTCACAGGAAGAAGGTGCGCTAGTGTCTTTGGCTGCATTCAGGCATTCCTATTTTTATTGTCTATTAGCATTATTGTCTTCAAATTGCAAGGAGCATTACAATACATACTGAAGGCTAGGTATTCACAAAAGCTGATTTAAATAAATTAGTTAAGTATTTTTATTATTAATCTGTTTTTCAGATAAGTAAACTTTGAGAGGAATACCAGGGAGATCCTGCTGTAGCCCTCTATTTTGGACACTTCCTGTATCAGGAAGTTTACAATTTGAGAAGCAAGATGTAGGAAAATCAAATTTTAAACAAGACTAATTACGAGAAAGATGCGGAAGATTTACTTTTCTTTTATACTTATTTTTTACAGACAGGATTTCCTCTGTCTAGGCTGAAGTATAGTGGTGCAATTATAGCTGAGTGCATCCCTGGACTCCTGGCCTCAAGAGATCCTCCCACTGGAGCCTCCCTCCTGAGTAGCTGGGACTACAGATGTGTGCCACCACGCCCAGCAAGATCCTTTATGATACATATACAAAACTGTCTCCTAGTAATTTCCGTGTTTTAAAACTTTTTCTGATATCCT
Source organism: Homo sapiens (assembly GCF_000001405.40). NCBI lineage: Eukaryota > Metazoa > Chordata > Mammalia > Primates > Hominidae > Homo > Homo sapiens. Next base: position 105,157,092 of record NC_000011.10, read on the forward strand.
AATTCATAAAATAGTGCCTCTTGTCTTTAGGAACTGTTCAAATATTTCAAGTAACTAGTGTCTCCTTAGGTATACCCTGAAATAAGCAACCCCACTCCCTTAACCCTCCTCATATGCACAGGGTCACATGGTGTGTAACAGGTGGAAACCAAATCAGACAGAACAGTCATCTGGCTCCTAACCCAGTGCTCTTTCTATGATCTCACAGCATCTCTGAAGGAACTTCCAGCATCCTGCCTCTATTTTACCTCAGGGATTTACTAGCATAATAAAGAGAGCCAGATTTAAAAGGATTCCCTTGTTAAAGCCACCATTATTTGTCCTGAGAAAGTCATAGCTGGAGGTAGTTCATTAGGACCTCTTTCTTGATTGGGATCCTGAGGGCAGAAAAGTGCTGGAAGAACTGGTTCTTGACATGGTAGAACCTCAGCTCTTGGTGGCGACATTCAGGTTGTGACAGCTACATGTTGTGCTCACTTCAAATTAAACTCTGTGCTATAGATTAAACGCCATACTCAATGAGGAAACAGGACTTAAATCATTCAAATGTGAATTGTGAATAACGAGAAATAATTATTTATTTATTTATGTACATTCTAAAAACCTAGAGCACAGTTCAGAAAATGATTAGAAGACAGCAGTCTCTAAGCAAGTACATTTCATGGTGGCTCATGAGCTGCACCTGGTTGACTCCTCTCACTTAGCCCAATAAGTTGCTAAAGCAAGGAGCTAGCTCAGCTTTGTACCTCTCTCTGGTGAGAGGACTAAAGTAAAGACACCCTGGATTCATTAGGATACACAGTTGGCTACTGGGCAGAGTCCACATATCAATGGCTTGAACAAAATGGAATTTTATTTTTCTCTCAACTAATAGTCTGAGCATTCTACACATAAGTGTTCCAGGCTTGTTACATTGGAGATTTGGGGATCCAGCCTTACTCCATTTTGTCATGGTGTAAGATGATTCCTTTAGCTTATGTCAACTTCCATTCATTCAAGCTGGAAGAAATGAAGCAAGGGAAAGAAGAGGCTATATTTCATGACGTTTGAATCAACGACAAGACATAGTACCCATAAATTTCACTAATTCCCTGTTGGACAAAACCTGGTCATATGGCCAAAGCTAGCTTCAAGTCAAGTGATAGGAAAAACAAACAAAAACTTTAGCTGGACTGACAGGTACCCAACTGAAAGTTCTGTTACTGTAGAAAAACGGGAGATGGATATTGGGGTGATCACCACAGTCTCTGTCACAGTCTTGGAAAGTGCCTGACAGATTTATCTCTGGCAACTTGAAGTGGTAGTAGACTGTTAAGTGACTTTGTCATCCAAAGAAATTTTTCTAGTTATTCTTGTCAGCTCTGATCCCATTTCTACATTCTATATGAATATAATAAGCATGTGTACTGATGTAGCTGTTGCCCTAGTATTCTGCTGCATAAGCTTGCATTTTAACTCTCAAATTTATCCCAGTTTAGTACAAAAATGATATGTCATCTTATCTGTGGCCTTTATGCAACACCATTTCCTACACCCCTGCCCTCCCACAGTTCCCAAGTTGTAAAGGGAAATGGAGTAACCATCTATGAGATGTAAACCTGCGGCATAATTTTTAGCTCTTTCCAGAGAAGCATGACCTTCTTATCAACAGAAAATTTTATTTATAGGGAAAAGAAATTTGCAGAAGTCCCTGTGCAGTGTAGTAGGCATCATAAGATCCTCACAATTAATTTTTTATTGAGTTAAGAAGGTTGGCAAGGTTATTTTCTTTCGAGAGAGGACATGGTTTTTATTTTTATTTTATATTGTTAAATGATCTTTTCTTTTTTCCCAATTTTTGTTTTAGATATAGGGGGTACATGTGCAAATTCATTACCTGGGTATATTGCATCACGCTGATGTTTGGGTTACAAATAATCCCATCTCCCAGGTAGTGAGCATGGTACCTATAGGTTAGTTTTTCAACCCTTGTCCCCATTTGCCCCCTCTCCTTTCTAGTAGTTCCCATTTTCTATTGTTGCCATCTTTATGTCTATGAGTACCCAAGGTTTAGCTCTCACTTACAAGTGAAATGTAGAGTATTTGGTTTTCTGTTTCTGCATTAATTCACTTGGGATAATGCCTTCCAGCTGCATCCATATTTATGCAGAAGACATGATTTCTTTTTTTTATAGATATATAACGTTCCATGGTGTATATGTGCCACATTTTCTTTATCCAAGAATTGGCAAATTTTTCAAAGGTAAGGCTTAGATTAAATTTTAGTGTATTTTTACACAAAGTTAATCAAGACTTTACATTAATATGGGCATAGAATGAATACTACGCTTGGATTTTGCCATTGCTGTCCTGAATAACACCTATCTACCAGTTTCTTAAAGTAATAGTTTTAAGATTTGACCTGCAAATTTGTACTCCTTTATCACATAGAAAGACATCTTACAAGGAGGTAGAGCTATCACAGAAGCTAAAGATATCATCACTTATATCCTGGGGCATTAGGATTTATACAGGCCTTCATGCATGTGTTCCTAAATCCAAATCAGATTCTCTACATTCCAGTTTCAGGATTCAAGTTGGCCTTCCTTTTTACCTAGAGTGATTGCAAGAAATTTCTAACAATTAGGCAACAATCATTGTCTAGAGAAATCACTGTTACTTAGCAAACAGGACATCTTCTATCATCAGGTCTCCTTTAGCTCTTTTGTTTTATAATGAATCAGTTTGTCACAGTTACTTGTCATATCTGAAGATACATACTATGGCCCAGGGAGAGCAAAAGTATATTTATATGATGAAGTGAATGTGTGACAAGACAATTAAAAAAAAACCTTGGAAGTATAGGAAAAGAGCAGACCCCAGTTGATTGTAAACATCAAAATAAGGAATTGGCGGTCAAGGCAAATACCTGGGCAAGATGAATTATCTACTAGACAGCTCTGCAGAAACAAATAACTTCAAAACCTCATAATCGTTTACTTCTTACTATACTCTTGTGTCTAAGGTAGTTTGTGATGGCTACCATGACATCCTTACTCTGGAACCTGGGCTGAAGGAGTAGCCTCTTTCTGGAATACTCTTTGTCATTATGAAAAAGAAAAAAATATATATTTTACTAATTATGCACAGGCACTTAAAGCTTTTTTGAAGTGATATCCATAATTTCAACTCACATTTTACTGATCAAAGCATGAAGGCTCCCAAGTTCAACATTATCTGGATATGCAATCCACTGGAAGGAGGAACAAGGCAGAGGAACCACTGACTAGGAATGAACCATGGGGACAAGGGAAATTTAGAGGACTTCACAATTATTAGTTAGAGCACTTCACAATTATTCTCCATGAGAATTGCTACCTAATAGTATTTGAGCTCACATTATATGACAGACCTTATGCTAACATTTTACAGACATTATTTTATGTAATCTTCACAACATTTCTATGGTGTAAACACTTTATTATGCTCATATTACAGATAAGAAAACCATGAGTGTAAGTAACGTGTAAAAAGTTCCTCAACAAATTAATAGCAGAGAGAGAACTCAAGCCTCGGGCTACCTGTTTCATAGTAACACTCTGTTCTTGAAGGGATAAAGGGATAAAGATACACAATTATGTGAGTCTTTGTGAATAAAAAAAAAACAGAGTAAGGATAAAGAAAAGATTTATAGCAATAAGATGAACACAAAGGCAACTGATTGACTAAGTTCAGATAGGAAGAGGACTTTTACTCTCCAGGAACTTTTGCATATATTAGGGATCCAGCTCCTTGCTTTCAAGCAAAGAAGCAAAGGATTAAAGAAAAGAAATGGATAATAGTGTTTAAAATGCCAGTGGAGTTCTATGTACTCTGTGGAAGAAGTAGCTGCTTTGAAAAAGGGCTGGTTCAAATCGAAGAACCTCAGACATGAGCCCCCAAAGGATCTTGGAACAGGTAAGTACCTAGAGAAACTACTATGACACATACCGGGAGAGAAAATGAGTGAGGACCTAAGGAGACACAGTGTCTCTACTTCTTTCATAATAGAAAGGTTATTGATTGGGAGAAACAGATGCCACGAACACCCACATAGACCCCAACTGGTCCCCAGTTTTCTCTCAGTTTGTTGATTGTGTCTCTTCATTTAATTCACATAGCAGTATGGCCCATGTCTTCTTCACATCTACACAGTTTATTGAATCTGTGAGTTGTTCACTTAATGTCACATTACTTCAGTTACACCTTAAACCTAAGATTTAAATGCCATCTATCATTGGCAGTTTGTTTCATTATGATTTTGCCACTACTAGTCTTTCTTCAACCCACCAAAGGCAATATGTTGGCGTTTAAAAAGAAAAAAAAGAAGTAAGATATATAGTTGGAGGATTGAAAGGAAAAGGCAGGTCAGCCTTTCTTTGCTCAGCTCCATCTTTAAAGTGACCAACAAAATACTTGTAATGTTTATTTTGTATCTGCACTATTGAGATTCCCAAGATGAGGCTTTCAAGGTATTTCTAAGGTTTGTAAAAGGGAAATATAGCAAATGCCGTGGTATGTGGATCACCTGAGGTCAGGAGTTCGAGACCAGCCTGACCAACAATGTGAAAACCCGTCTCTACTAAAAACACAAAAAATTAGCCAGGCATGGTGGCAGGTGCCTGTAGTCTCAGCTACTCGGGAGGCTGAGACAGGAGAATTGCTTGAACCTGGGAGGTGGAGCTTGTAGTGAGCCAAGATCATGCCACTGCACTCCAGCCTGGGAGACGAAGCAAGACTCCGTCTCAAAAAAAAAGAGAAGGAAAGAAAGAAAGAAAGAAGGAAAGGAAGAAAGAAAGAAAGAAAGAAAGAAAGAACGAAAGAAAGAAAGAAAGAAAGAAAGAAAGAAAGAAAGAAAGAAAGAAAGAAAGAAGAAAGAAAGAAGGAAGGAAGGAAGGAAGGAAAGAAGGAAAAAAAGAAAGAAAGAGAAAGAAAGAAAGAAAGGAAGGAAGGAAGGAAGAAAGAAAGAAAGAGAAAGAAAAGAGAGAGAAAGAAAGAAAAAGAAAGAAAGAAAGAAGCTCTTCAGTGTCAAGCAGGGGAAAGGAACCTAAGAGGTGTGTCACAGTAACAAGGAAAACACAGGATAGTGTATCCTATGGTCTTAGACACAGGAACTAGGGTGTAATAGTAAAAAAAATACTGGGTTAAAATGGGCTACTGAATGGTCTGTTACTTGACCAACAGAATATGGAAACAATATATTGGACTTCAAGATATAGTTAGTGACTATTGCATTCCACCTTTAAAAGAGTTAGTGAAACATAATTGTAGAGAATTGTAGGTTGCTGTCAAGAAACAAGTTTCTGACATACCTTAGTTGATAAAAATTTGGCTGACGAGGTGTCCTTTCCAAATGATAGTGTCAATTAGAGGCCAAACCCAGTCTATTGGGGTATCATTTTTATCTCCACCATTTTTCTGTCTACTCCTGATTTAGCTCTGTGACTCCTAACAGGCCATAGGTTATGTCATTGCCCATTGACTCAATAAAGAAAATTATTGCTGAAAGCATAAATTGCCATAAGTCATGCATATGATGAGAGGTGTCATCCATTTCTTTCTTATAATGGTTCGGAGTTCCCACAAGAATGACCCATTAGTAATTGAATTTCCCCTGTTTTCACTTCTTTTTTTTTCTGGAGGACTCCTGTTCCTTGTGCTCTAGTGCTGTCAGAACTGTGTAGCTGTGTTGATATAAATGTGTGCTACCCTCTTTTTGGTCTCCTTTGTCATCTGATTAGTCTTTAAAGATGCAGCACTCTCTTTCCACCTCATAAGGCCCTCAGTTCCTGAGAACTCATCTTGATCTCATTCAGGAGAAAAGTAAATCCCTCAAGATCTTCCTTATGATGCTTACAGTCCATGCTGCTCTTCCCATGTGAAGAACTGACGTCAGTCAAATTTGGCCCAATCAAGAAATCAAAGAATAACAAAAGAATTGCAATGCATTAATAAAGACCTAGATCCATCCAGACTTTAAGATCCTCTTCCAAAAGTCCAGTGGGATACCTGATTCATCATCCTGTCTTTCACCAGCCAAGGAATGCAGAGCGTCCTGGTCAAGAGGCAAAGCTGGTCAGACAAGCTTCCGCCAGTAAGTTCATTTCTTCTTCCATATTTCTGTCATTCTCTTCTTCTCCGCCTCTCTCCAACTCTCACCAACTTGTGATGAATAATTACTTTGAAAACAGGCATTATCTTTATCAAGACGTCCTCAAATATCAGTTCTTTTAGATCCTTCATGGCTCTGTCCACCAACTTTGGGACAAGTAAAGGAAGAATTAAAGAAAAACATACTGTTCCTTTCTTTTTGATCAGTGTGTTTATGTAAGAATACTCTTTTACTCCAGGCCTCCTGTGGAATAGGAAATTAAACAAATTCTTACCTACTTCCTAATTACATTCAGCATGCTTCCTGTCTTTCCCCAGTCTCAGTCTTATGTAGGATAAGATTGTCCTTTGGAAAGGACAAACCAGCTCTGCATACTTGCATACAAGATACTTTCTTAGCTGAAGATTTTCAGAACCATTTTCTCTGATAAGGGTGTAAGGTGGGTGAAGGAGATCACTCTCCAGATCCAATGAGAGAAGGGCAGGCCAGGGGTGGGAGTAGAAATACATAGATTCCAAGTCTCTGTCATTGTGAGCAATTAATTAACTTGACACATGGAAGAAGCCTGAGTTGGGAAATTTCAGAAGTAGGAAAATAATACTTGGCTTTAGTTTTCGTCCATACAAAAACCAGGTTTGATAAAAGATGATCAACCAGTACATCACGGTAAATATATGTGCTGAATTTAGCTCAGGAGATATGGAGCTAGAGATGTAGAGCCACGTAAGTGGCCAACCTGAAAAATCATTTTAGTCATTGTGTGAATAACACATAGAATTAAGGAAAGGGAGAAGTCTGAGAAATTGGACCTTGGAATTTTCTCTTTGCTTTGGTGGGTAAGATGTGTTAAAATTTAAGATTGATTAGAAAATGACATGAATGTCGCCCATGTTTTTTCAATGATCATAACTATCTTGCAGATACCTACACACAATTTTAACCAACTGAGAACATAAGGATTCATGCTGTGGATGTGGGAGCAGAAACGGTTTGAAAACTTGTTAATATTTTCTTGAGAAAAAATTTGTTAGCCTGCTTGATTGCGAATTCTGTGCTGCTGCTGTGGCTTTTTTGTATTACAAATGTGATTCTTTATTTATCTCAGTGTAACATAAATTGAGATGTTGATGGGTTTTTCCAAGAAAATAAATGAGTCATAATAAACCTTTTCTTGTATAAGGATGAATGTGAAGTACATAGTCATTATTTGAACAGGATGTTCCTTTAAAAAGCAATTGAGATTGTACAACGCAAGGCTGTTTGGATGGCAACTTAGCGTGTCTGGCAAAAGGAGTTTGTTCCTTCTGTTTCTCAACAATACTTTCAGAGGTCACAAAATTAAATCCTTTGGATGACATACACCCCATCCTTGTTTCTCTATTTAGATTTAGTGACTGGACTCTCAATGTTTTATCCCTGTCTGAATTTCTTGGCAGACTGTGCTTTAACCTTTTATGTGTGGTTTGTTAAATTTAAAATTTTAGAAAGTGACATACTAAATAATAAAAAGATAGATTCAGGGTAGAAGACTTTTATATAAAAATGTATAAACAGATATAAAATGCTTTTTAAATTTCAATACAGTATGTGTGTCTGTACATATTGATTCCTAATTATGGTGATTATGGTAAATTATTACTAGCAATAATTTTTTTGGTTTTGACATGGTCTCACTCTATCACCAAGGCTGCAGTGCAGTGGCACAATCATAGCTCACTGCAGCCTCAAACTCTTGAGCTCAAGTGATCCTCCTGACTCAGGTAGGACTACAGGTGTGAGCCACCATACTGGGCTTTAGAAAGAATTCTAGTGAAAGAAAAGATGCCATGGTTAAGTGTTTTTTTTTTTTTTTTTTTTTAGATAGAGTTTTGCTCTTGTCACTCAGGCTAGAGTGCAATGGCACAGTCTTAGCTCACTGCAACCTCCACCTCTCAGGTTCAAGCGATTCTCTTGCCTCAGCCTCCCAAGTAGCTGGGCTTATAGGTGCCCCTCACTATGCTCGGTTAATTTTTGTATTTTTAGTAGAGACAAGGTTTCACCATGTTGGCCAAGCTGGTCTCGAACTCCTGACCTCAGGTGATTCGCCCGCCTCGGCCTCCCAGAGTGTTGGGATTATAGGTGTAAGCCATCATGTCTGGCCTTAAGTATTTTTTATTACCTCAAATCAATATAATTTCACCATGGAAAATTTGAAAACTATGGAAAAATTTTAAATAGAAGAGAAATGCCACCTACATTTCCACTATATATATACATATATATATACACACACATATATATATACACATATATATACACATATATATACACATATATATACACATATATACATATATATACACATATATACATATATATACACATATATATATAAGTCCATATTGTCATTTTTGTACTTTTAATTTCTCTGCACAGAGCACATAATAAAACTGAATTATTTTTTAAATATACGGACTATTACACTATATACTTCTTAGTGGTAAATACATTTGGGCAGCAGTTCCAAAACTAGAAACTTACCAAAATAGGCTCACGGCATCCTTTCTACACTTACTATTCTTCGTCTATGGTTGAGTAAGTGAAAACATCTAGGAACAGAGCAGTCAGGAAACAATGATATGCTATAATTATAACTTTAGAGAATTTTATTTTCAAAATCAGAAACTTCATAGGATTTTGTTTTCAAAATAAAAAGTAATACAAAGAGAATAGAGTTACATTTGCTTTCATTTTTTCATTGGTTAGTTGTTCAGGTTGATCGTTTGACTTCTTGTTGTTCTCATTTTCTCATAAGTTAAATTAGCCATCTGTCTGCCACAAAGGTTTTGTGTAAGAATCACCTAAAAATTGTAAAGATTTTTGAGCTGCTAAAGACAAAGAGAATTAAAAAGCATTGTAATGCCTCTAAGCCATGTTGATTTGATATGAACTAAAATTAGTGACCTAGATTTTCTTCTCTCATTTCATAGATCCTAATTTATTTAGAGCACTGTATTGTATTATTTCATGAAAATACCAAGATGCATTTAAATTTTTCTAGATATGGAAATAACTCTAAGGGAAACAAGTAATTTAGATGAATTTACTAAACACGTGGTGGAACTAACAAAATGAAACACAGAGTTGATTGTTCTATAATCAGTACAAAGCGGAGTGTAGCTGTCTATCCATCACTTTGTCATTTCAATTGTATCTCTATAGCACATAAGAAAAATGTATTGGTTTACACTGTGTAACTATAATATCATAATAACACTTTGTATGTGTATGGATTCTAGATTTACAATATGACCTTGGGCAAAATCTAAAAGAAGGCTATAGATCAAAGAGGAAATATTAACGCTACAGAAATGGAAAAGATTTCAAATTAATATGATAAAACATACTCTGTTAGAGAAATCGATAGACACACTGCAAAATAATTCCAATGCAGGGAAGGAAAGATATAAGAGAAGCTCAGTGCTGGGTAGAGCAGGAAAAGAAATATCAAGGACCAACAGGAAAATTACAGGGTTAGAAACAGTCATATTTTAGCAGATCAAAACAAGAAAGTTAAAACAACATTCAAATATTTATTCTTTTTCATTCACATTCTAATTATTGAAACATAATAAGTGAGTACTTTTTGGCAACTGATAGACCAACAAAAATAATGATTTAGATTCTCTATAATTTTTCTGTTGTGTATCTGGCCAAGAATTCTGTAAATATATTACAATATAATACTAATACAATATGATAAATAGGTATGCTAATATAATGTGAGATGCCCTCTAAAACATAATAGATACCCATACCAGAAGGTTAAAAAATATGTGTAGAGAACACACTGGGATTAGCTTTAGAACTGACATTTTTCCTCTCCTTTACAGGACCAAGATGTCAGCAATGACTCCAGCGTTCTAAAAATCCAGAAGATCACTACAAACAAATGAAAAACTAAAAGTCTGGTAGAACAGAGGCCATGACTGGGTGAGCCGCACTGTCTCGCTTCCAAAAATTTACTCTTCATGAAAAATGAAAATCATCGTTTCTCAAAAGCAACGTAAGTAGCTAAATTAGTTAAAATTGCCTTTATTTATTATTTTTAGAAGTTACATATTTTAAATCTCTAATTTCTTCTCCATTCCTCCCAGCATTTTTTAACTTTTTCATAATTTCATTTTATAACCAAGTTCTAAGAAAATTTGTTTTCCAAAACCAATTGCGTAATATACACAAGTGATATTATAACATGAGAAATCATCTGATAAGGACCTTTATGGTAGGATCATTTCATGAGCTTTGAGTTAATACTGAAGTTTAAATTTGGTTTGATCTTACAATTTCTGAGCCTTTTATTTCATATGTAAGTATAGTGACAAGAGTTTAAACAGTTACTGTATTGAATACATCTGATCATGTAACTCAACATATTTAACATACATCTGGATCATAATAGTTACAAAAATCAATTTTATTTTCTTCATGTTCTGAAATATTCCGATTACTCCACCATTAAATCTCAGTCTAATAATGCTTTATGTGGAGATAATAGTCATGTCCTATAAGAATTTTTATTTTTTGTTGATTACTATTGAGTGTGTTGAAAGTTGCTGGAATTCTAATTTCCAGGCAAGTGAAATGTTACTGTGCATTCAGATTATTCTAGACACACAATCTTAATCTGTGTATAGTCGGGGCTCAATATGTAGACTGGAGGAAGGCGTGGGCAGGGCAAAGGAAGGTGGCTGAGAACACAATTCGTAGAACACAGATATGCCGTCCTTTTCATCACTTCCTATTCTGTATGTCATGCACTCTCCTTTGGGGTCAAGGATAAATATCTTGCTCCTATATATACTGTTCACTGGACTATAATCTTGAAAGAAATTTGATGCTAGCATGTAATTAGCTCCCGTGAATATTTGTTGAATGAATGGCTGCATGAACAAATGAGTGTTATTAATTAATTGCTTGGTTACTTGGTTACTAACATGGAGGAGTTCTTTTCTGCTAATCATTTCCAGCTCATTTTCAACAGTCTCTTTCTTCTTCCATACAAATGTCAAAATTTCAACTTTGCCTTTGCTCAGTAACAAAAGATATCTGGGTTTCTTTAATAGACTACTACTCTTTTAAACTTATTAATTTTAGTAAATAGATAATGCTCATTAGAAAAATTAAAATACAAGTAATAGTCTCACTTTGAAAGTACCAAGTGACATTTTAATTTTGGTATTTAATCTTTACCCACTGGGTCTCTCTAAGAAGCACTGTCACAGATTACAAGATAAATGAAGTAAGTAGCATTTCTTTGCCAGAAAAGGACAGTCTGGACTGTACACAGATTTTAGCAGCACTTAGTGCTTTTCCCATCTTCATTCTATTTCACAAGAAGAAAAATCAAAGAGACAAGCAAACAGCAACTCTGTAAATGACTGCCAACTGTTACTGGAAGGAAATGGGTCATCTTTTTCACCAAATAGGTGACTGACAAATAACCAGCAAATTCCATTGCTTGGACTCATCATGCACCCAAAGTTATTGGCCTATTCACTACAACAATGGAGAGAGGACAGCTTGTAACAAAGGCAACATTTTGGAAAAGATGTCAAAATTAAAGAACTCTTCATAGTAATTTGAATACACCTTGAGAAGAGAGTGGATAATATTTTTCTCCTCTTTTTTTTTTTTTTTTTTTTTTTTTTTGAGTAGAGTTTCGTTCTTTTGGCCCAGGCTGGAGTGGAATGGCACGATCTCAGCTCACTGCAACCTCTGCCTGCCAGGTTCAAGTGATTCTCCTTCCTCAGCCTCCCAAGTAGCTGGGATTACAGGCATGCACCACCACACCCAACTAATTTTGTATTTTTAGCAGAGATAGGGTTTCAACATGTTGGCCAGGCTGGTCTTGAACTCCTGACCTCAGGTGATCTGCCTGCCTCAGCCTCCCAAAGTGCTCATCTTCTTAAAGTTAAAATAACATATCAGAAAGATCTGTTTAATATTTTTAAAGACAAATTCAGCCTTAAACTGAATTTCAATTTTATTTTATTTTTAATTTTTTTATTTTCATAGGTTTTTGAGGAACGGGTGGTGTTTGGTTACATGAGTAAGTTCTTTAGTGGTGATTTGAGAGATTTTAGTGTACCCATCACCCGAGCAGCATACACTAAACCCAATTTGTAGTCTTTTATCCTTCACCTCCTTCCCACCATTTTCCCCTGAGTCCCCAATGTCCATTGTATCATTCTTATGCCTTTGCGTCCTCATAGCTTAGCTTCTACTTATGAGTGAGAACATCCTGTGTTTGGTTTTCCATTTCTGAGCTATTTCACTTAGAATAATAGTCTCCAATCCTATCCACGTTGCTGCAAATATCATTCATTCATTCTGTTTTATGGCTGAATAGTATATTCCATCATATATATCTATATAATCATATATATAATCATATATAATCACATATATATATCATATATGTGATATATCATATATGATCATATATAATATCATATATATATATATCATAGTTTATCCACTCCTTGATTGATGGGCATTTGGACTGATTCCACATTTTTTCAATTGCAAATTGGGCTGCTATAAAAATACATGCACAAGTATCTTTTTTTTAATAATGACTTCTTTTCCTCTAGATCGATACCCAGTAGTAGAATTGATAAATCAAATGGTAGATCTACTTTTAGTTCTTCAAGGAATCTCCACACTGTTTTCCATAGTGGTTGCACTAGTTCGCATTCCTACCAGCAGTGTAGAAGTCTTCCCTTTTCGCTGCATCCATGCCAACATGTATGGTTTTCAGATTTTTTTAAAATTATTGCTATTCTTGCAGGAGTAAGGTGGATTGCATTGTGGTTTTGATTTGCATTTCCCTGATCATTAGTGATGTTAAGCATTTTTTACATGTTTGTGGGCTATTTGTATATCTTCTTTGGAGAATTGTCTATTCATGCCTTAACCCACTTTTTGATGGGATTGTTTGTTTTTTTCTTGCTGACTTGTTTGAGTTCATCGTAGAGTGTGGAGAATACACTTTCTTCTTTTTAAAGATAAAATAAAATAGCAGAAAGATCTGTTTAATATTTTTAAAGACAAATGCATCCTTAAACTGAATTTCAATTTTAATAAAATAAATATTTGACATAGATATTGTAATATTTGTGAGTAAATTGTATCTTATGGTGCTGAAATGCCTTTTTCTCCATTATTCTTATTAAAATCCATTGTTTCCAGGATGAATTCAACAGGTCATGGGCCTAATGAATCAAAATAAGTAACATTTTCTTTCTGATCTTTTTTTTAATGATTATTTTAGGTTCAGGAGATTCACTTATAGGTTTGTTACATGGATAAATTGCGTGTCAATGAGGTTTAGTGTACATATGCTCTTGTCACCCAGGAAGTGAGTGTAGTAACCCATCAGTAGCCTTCCAACCCGCACCCATCTTCCACACTCCCCATCAAGCAGTCTCCAGTGTCTACTGATCCCATCTTTGTGTCCATGTGTATTCAATATTTAGCTCCCACTTTCAAGAGAGAACATGTAATGTTTGGTTTTCTATTTCTGTGTTAATTTGCTTAGGATAATGGCCTCCAGCTGTATCCATGTTTCTGCAAAGAACATGATTTCATTCTTTTTTATGGCTGCATAGTTTTCCATGGTGTATATGTACATTTTTATTTTTAGCCAGTCCACCATTGGTGGGAACTTTGGAGGATTCCCTGTATTTGCAATTATGAATTGTGCTGCAATAAACATATGAGTACATGTGTGTTTTTGGTAGAATGATTTATTTTCCTTTGAGTATACAACCACTAGTGAAATTGCTGAGTTAAATGGTAGCTCTGTGTTAAGGTTTTTGAGAAATCTCCAAACTGCCTTCCATAGTGCCTGCATTAATTCACATTCCCACCAGCAGTGCATAAGTGTTCCATTTTTTCCACTACCTCACTATCATCTGTTGTTTTTTGGCTTTTTAATAATAGCCATTCTTACCGATATGAGATGACATGTTATTGGTTTTCATTTCTGTAATAATTATTAATGATAAGAATTTTTTTTATATATTTGTTGGCCACGTGTATGTTTTCTTTTGAAAAGTGTCTGTTCATGCCCTTTGCCCAAATTTTAATGGGGTTATTTGTTTTTTATTTGTTGAATTGTTTAAGTTCCTTATCAATTCTGGATATTAGACCTTTCTCAGATGCATAGCTTGTGAATATTTTCTCCCACTCTGTAGGTTTGTGACTCTATTGATAGTTTCTTTTGCTGTGCAGAAGCTCATTAGTTTAATTAGATCCCACTAGTCAATTTTTGTTTTTGTAGCAATTGCTTTTGAGGACTTACGAATAAATTATTTGCCAGGGCTGATGTTCAGATTGGTGTTTCCTAGGTTTTCTAGAGTTTTTATAGTTTTGCTGACCTTTTTTATTTTTTTTAACAGCTGCTGAGAAAGAGAGAGGGGTGAAAGGAGAGAGAGAGAGAGAGAGAGAGAGAGAGAGAGAGAGAGAGATAATGTAATTAACGTCTAATAAGAATGTAGGCGTCATCAAGTTATAACTCCATTCTTTCTACAACATCCTTTGTGGGTATGTATAGAGGAAGACTAAATATTTTCAGAAATGGCGATTTTACTACTTCTTTATCTCCTTTATAAACATAGATTCCTCATCCTGAAATTTTATTTAATTATTTTAAAATGATCTCTGCTCTGCCAGACACTGAATTATCTTTGTCTAATTTTGCGGGGTTTTTTTGTTGTTGTTGTTTTGTTTTGTTTTGTTTTTGCTTTGTCTTATTTCTTATTCCTCTTCAGTAGGAAGATACTCAAATACATAACCACTTGGTCAGTTCTTTTGTTTTCTTCTTGTTGAATTTGAAAGGTTTTTTTTTTCTTTTTTGGTATATTTTAGATAACAGTTCTTTATCAGATATGTGTCTTGCAAATATTTTTTCCTAGTCTGTGGATTCTTCTCTTACTTTCTTGTAGTTCCGGTTTATTATTTCTTTCATTGATTCTGCCTTTGGTGGTGTATCTGCAAATTTATTGCTATACTCAAGGTCATCTAGTTTTTCTCCTGTTATTTTCTAACAGTTTTATGGTTTTGCATTTTATATTTGTGATCAATAACGCATTAATTTTGATGAAGAATGCAAAGTTTGTTTCTAGATTCATCTTCTTTTTTTTTTTTTTTTTTTTCGCACTTGAATATCCAGTTGTTCCAGCACCATTTTTGGAAAAGGCTACCTTTTTGGGTTGTATTGATTTTGTTCCTTCATCAAAGATCAGTTGACTGTACTTTTGTGGGTCTAAGTTCTCTATTCTCTTCCATTGATCTATTTGGCTCTTCTTTCACCAATAAAACACTATGTTGATTACTGGAGCGCCATAGTAGTCAGTCTTGAATTCAGTAGTGTCAGTCGTCCATCTTTGATCTATTTCAATATTGAATTGGTTACTCTGGGTTTTTTGCCCCTCCATATAAACTTTATAATCAGTTTGTCAATATTCATAAAATAACATGTTGGGATTTTGATTGGTATTGCATTGAATCTATATATCAAGTTGAGAAGAACTGATATCTTGACAATATTGAATCTTCATGGCCATTAACATGAAATATCTCTCCATTTATTTAAATCTTTGATTGGTTCATCAGACTTTTGCAGTTTTTTCTATGTATAAATCCTATACATATTTTATTAGGTTTATACCAAAATATATCATTTTGGGGATTTTAATGTAAATGATGTTTTTTATTTCAATTTCATTTGTTCATTGATTATATATAGGAAAGTGAATGACTTTTGTATATTAACCTTGTATCCTTCAATCTTGCTGTAAGTTATTTTTATTTCTAGGAGATTTGCTGTTGTTGCTGATTTTCGGGGTTTTTCTGCAGAGATGATCCTGTCATCACTGCACAAAGACTGTTTCATTTTTTCCTTCCCAATTATACTTTTTATTTCCTTTCCTTGTTTTCTTGTATTAACTAGATCTTCCAATAGATTTTTAAGCTAGTGTGGGCACATGATTATTGATTATCATTTTTTAACTGGTTATGTTTTTCTATAATGTTTTTAAAAAGCAAGTACAGAGAAGATGCAAATTCGTTTCTAATTAATGGATAGAACTTCTACATTTCCAATAATATTGCAGGCAAATCTTAGAGTAATCAAATAAAGTAATACTGGAATTCATCCAGCAGAAAGCAATAATATTTAAATTGCTAAAAAGAGGCAGAGAAAATTTAATAAAACTATCAAAATATTAGAACACCTTAATAATTAAATATTCTCTTCTATACAAATCAGTGGCATATAAAATTTAGGATAGACAAATAACTTGTCTTAAGTAGAAATTTAATCTCAACAACATGTAACACATACCTCTTCCCCAACTTAAAATTAGAGTTTAAAGAAAACACAATATAAAAATAAATTTAAATTACAAATAAATAATTAAAAAATATATAGTGGCAAAGGAAGACTCAATAAATTATACTATGATTATTGGTTTATCATTTTGAAAATTCAAATTAGCAAAATCACAAAAGAAGTAAAAACAACAATATGAAAAGGATATGTGATATATGATACAACCATATGACGTTCTGGAAAAAGTAAAACTATGGAGACAGAAAAAGGAATACTGGTTGCTAATGGTTGAGGGGAGACAGGGATGAATACAGAGCACAAGCCATTTTATGGCTGTGAAACTACTCTGCATGATACCATGATGGTGGGTACATGTCATTATACATTTGTCAAAACCTATTTCATGTACAACACTAGGAATGAACCCAAATACAAACTAGCAACCTTGGTCGATGATGTGTAAAAGTAGGTTCATCCTATTGTAACAAATGCATCATTCTAGTGAAGGATCTTGATAACGGGGAAAGCTGTGTATTTGGTATATGGGAAACCTGCAGGGGCTATATGGGAGATCTCTGTGCCTTCTGCTCAATTTTGTTGTGAACCTAAAACTGCTAAAAAAAAATAAAGTCTAGTTATAGGAATTAAGAATTAAAATAAATAATGCAGACTTTTCTAGAATATCACATCTGAAGATTCTATATTTTATTTAAAATTATCTAATTTATTCTTTATACCAAACCTGTAAAACGTTTTAAAATATACTGCAAATATTGATTTAGTATTAAAAATAATTTCAAGCAATTGTTATTCTGAAAAATTTACTTATTCCCAAATTTGGAGAATATTTTCAGTCAAAACTTTTAAAGTGAATTTTGTAAAATTGTACCTAGTTGTACAGCTGGAACACTCTTTTATATGTAAGGAAATGTAAAATTTCAAACAATGTCGACTTTTTGACTAAAGGGAAGTCACTGTAAGGAAAATGGCTTTGAAAACCGTGGAAGACAATCTTCTATGCTTTTTATATAGGAAAGAGAAATGAAGACTCATAAGAACTGAAATTATTTTGTCACAAAAATGCCAAAGTAGAAAACCAATTTGTTCAGGAAGCACTATGAAAAATACTGCTAACCTCTACTTCCTGAAAACAGGATAACATAATTGAATTTCTATGGATAGCTACAGTACATTTATTTATCTTTTCATGTTCTCCAAAGGCTTCTCCCATTTTCATTTTTAAGTCTAGTTTAGAATATCCTTTTAAGTGTCTTTTTTATCAAGTGTCTACTTTAAATTCCAGGAAAAAATGGTTGAAAACTTTATTTTTCATTCTTCTTTATTCAATTCTGTTAACTAAATAAGCAGATCATGACTTTTCTTGTGTTTGTACAATTTCCCTATACATTCTTTCAAGTAAACACACTTATTCTCTTCAGACATGGGCTGTGTATGCTAGTCACCATTTTGTCCTCACAGGAAAATGCTCAACTTGTGTTCTTTGATCAAAAGTTTTGGGACATGTGGTCTTAACCAAAATACTTTTTCTTCACTGAACACAATGTGTACTTTAATATAATAATATATGTTTGATTCTTAAAGCTAAACTACAGTGTGCAGTTTTTCCTAATGACTTTTATTTCACAGAACATTAAAACTTAAAATTTTTAAACATTTAAAAATAATTATAGATTCACAGGAAGTTGCAGTAGAGTGTACTGAGATTACCCCTCTACTCTTTATCTAGTTTGCCCAAATGGTTATACCTTACAAAATTACAGAAAAATATCAAAGCTCCCTGGCGAATTGGCATTGGTGGAGCATGTTTGTTTAAGGAGGTGTGTATTTCTCTGTCAATCCATCACATGTAGAGTTCTATAACCAACACAGTAAAGACACAAAACCAGTTCATCACCACAAAGTTATCCCTCATGATACCATTTTAAACATCCGCCTTTACCATCCCCACCTAACTCTCACTATTCCTAAACTCTGGCAAACACTAAGCTTTTAGTGATCAGTGCTTCAAATGGACTTTTTCTATCTGTTGAAATGTCCAAGAGTGCAGTTGCTGGTTCCTATGATAAGTGATGTTTAATTTTTAAGAAACTGATAAAATTTTCCAGGCTGACCGATCCATTTTACATTTTCATCAGCAATGTATAGGAGATCCAGTTTTTCCACATCCTGTATTTTTTATTTTAACTATTCTGCTAGGAGTGTAATGACATCTCATGGCGTTCATAATTTACATTCTTCTTAATGGGCACTGATGTTGATTATCTTTTTATGTGCTTATTTTCCGTCTGGATATGCTCTTTGCAGAAGCATTAGTTTATGATTTTTGCTCATTTTAATTGAACTGTTTATTTGTTTGTCTCTATTGTAGAATTTTTAGAGTTCTTTATATGTTCTAGATATAAGTCCTTTGACAAATGCGTGGTTTGCAAATATTTTCTTAAAGTCTACAATTTGTCATTATATCCTTCTGAACAGCCTTGCAGAATAAATCATCTTAATTTGAATGATGTCCAGATTGTTACTTTTTTTCTTCTTATATTCTTATAGGTGGGTTTGTGTCTAAGAAATATTCACATAGCCTTACATCCCAAATATTTTCTCCTATGTTATTTTATTTATTTATTTATTTATTTATTTATTTATTTATTTGAGACAGAGTCCTGCTGTCACCCAGGCTGGAGTGCAGTGGCGTGATTTTGGCTCACTGCAACCTCCGTCTCTCAGGTTCAAGCGATTCTCATGTCTCAGTCTCCCAAGTAGCTGGGGTCATAGGCATGTGCCACCACAGCTGGCTAATTTTTATTTATTTATTTATTTTTAGTAGAGACGGAGTTTTGCCATGCTGGCCAGGCTGGTTTGGAACTCCTGACCTCGAACAATACACTTCGACCTCCCAAAGTGCTGGGATTATAGGTTCTATGTTATCTTCTAAAGGTGTTATAAGTTCACATTTTGCAGTTAACCTGTTTTCCATTTTGAGTGAATTTTTGTATAAACTTTAAAGCTTGTTAAAGGCTTGTTTTTTTTATAATTTTTATGTATCCATATATGTATTTATGTATGTATGTACGTATGTATGGAAGTATTTTTGTCTATAGATGTCCAATGTTTCAGCACCATTTAATGAAAAAGCTGTCCTTCCTTTATTCAGTTGCTTCTCTACCTTTTTTAAAAAAATCAGTTGATTGAACTTTATAAAAACAACTTCTGGATTCTCTATTGTTTCACTAATCTATGTATCTATCCCTATGCCAATAATACACAATCTTGATTTCTATAGTTACATAATAAGTCTTGAAACTTAGTATTATTCCTATCACATTTTCCCTTGATTTTCAAAATTGTTTTAACTATTCTAGCATTTATGTTTCCAACTAAATTTTAGAATAATCTTGTCTATATCTACAGAAAAATCTTGCTTGGGTTTTCATAGGAATAGCATAAAACATTATATCTACATCTATCTACATATATGTGCATATATTAATAACTATATATAATGCATTAAAAAATGAAGACAACATCTTTGTTTGGATTTTTCAATTTGTAAACAAGTTTTATCTTTTCATTTATTTAGGTCTTCTTTTATTTATTCCATTGGTGTTTTGGAGTTTACAAATTAGCATATAAGTCCTGTACATATTCTGATAGATTTATAAACTAACAATTTCATCTTTGTTAAGAAAGTTTAAATGGTGTTTTATTTTTAATTTCTTTCCATTACAAGGTAACTACGTGTATTAGTCCGTTCTCACACTGCAATAAAGAACTACCTGGGACCCAGTAATTTATGAAGAAGAGGGTTTTAATTGACTCACAGTTCTGCAGGCTTAACAGGAAGCATGACTTGGAGGCCTCGGGAAACTTACAATCATGGCAGAAGGTGAAGGGGAAACAAGCACTTCTTACCACGGCAGAGCAGGAGAGAGAGAGAGAGAGTGAGGGGGGAATACACTTTTAAACCATCAGATCCCATGAGAACTCCTTCACTATCAAGAGATCAGCATGGGGAAATCGGTCCCTATCATCCAATCACCTCCCATCATGCCCCTCTTTCAATATGTGGGGATTACAATTCCACATGAGATGTGGATTGGGGCCAGGAGCCAAACCATATCACTACAGAACCTTTGTCTTCTCTCCTACAAGTCTTTAGAGTAGTCCTGGCTTTGAGAGAATGAGACAGACACAAAGTTGGCTTAATATGTTTTTAAATGGGATTCTTTTTTAAGAAGATGAAATCTCCCAAGTGCTATAGTAATGAATCATCATCTAATGTCTATATTTACTGGAAGAGTTACCATGTCAGCCAAACAGAGCCATCTGGACCAATTCTTACTGTTATATTAAGTAGCATTTTGGAAACTATTTATAGAAATTGGGTCTATGACTTTTTCTGCCATTGATCTCTTTTGAGGAATATGTTCCTAGCAGAGAGTCTCATTTATATTGTTTTTTTGAAAAACTCTGAGTTGCATTTAGCACTGGAATGGAGAAAGTTTTGTGAAACTAAATCTTAAAACTAGAAACCTAAGCAGATATAAAAACTTTATTTATTTATTTTTTTCTTAAGACTTGGAGACTTACAGTTATTTGCAAGTACCACATAAAATACTTGTTCCGGCCGGGCGTGGTGGCTCACGCCTGTAATCCCAGCACTTTGGGAGGCCGAGGCGGGCGGATCACGAGGTCAGGAGATCAAGACCATCCTGGCTAACATGGTGAAACCCCGTCTCTACTAAAAATACAAAAAAAATTAGCCAGGCGTGGTAGCGGGCGCCTGTAGTCCCAGCTACCTGGGAGGCTGAGGCAGGAGAATGGCGTGAACCCGGGAGGCGGAGCTTGCAGTGAGCCAAGACAGAGCCACTGCAGTCCAGCCTGGGCGAAAGAGCGAGACTCTGTCTCAAAAAAAAAAAAAAAAAAAAAACTTGTTCCTTGCTTTCAGTTATGTGAATAAAGTGGATTGAAATGTTGCAATTAGGATTTACTGTGAATAGGTACAATAAACATGTTATGTCATGGTACAATTAGAGAGGAATCACAGTTCTATAGAGATTAGAACCTAAGTTTTTCTTGAAAAGGCAAAAAGCAGACAACTAATCACAATTATCCTTGAATATCCTGTAAATTGTCTATAAAGTTAAATAGCATAGTGTAGCATGTATCTCTCTAGTGATCCTTCTGAATTTCAAGGTTGTCAACCATTACCCTGGACTAAAATTAAGAACAAAAGAAAAGTCTATATGCCGAGGTCTGGGAACTGAAGCCGTTCTGCCTCTAGGGAACTCTCTGGCCTAACCATGGTGCTGATATGAATAAAAGATTTATACTATTAAACATATATAACATAATAAATAATTATTTTTAGGTGAAAAGTGAAAAAGATATTGGATCAACATCTTAGAGACCAATTAAATTTTGAAATCAACCTGATAGTTCCATAAATATATTTTTGATTCTGGACCCAGTCTAAAAATTAAAAGAAGATAAAGAGCTAATTCTTTTCAATGCCTTAAATTTTGTCTTAACCTTTTCTAGAACTGGAGATGCATATTGTTATAGAACAGATTCATTTTTTTATCTCATTCCCCAGCATACGTTAATAAATATTTATTAATATATTATTTTCATACATGTCTAAAACAATATTAATTGTAACGGAATGGAAATTAGCTCTGCATATAAATAAAATTTTCTAGTATAATCTGGATATCTGATCAATATTTTGTCTCTCTACTGATCTCTCTATCTGAAATATATTTTTAAGCTTTTAGCCATAAAATGTTCTATCTGGTTGCACAGGCTTACAAGTATGTTTTTTTTAAAATAACTTTGCCTTAGACACAGTTCTATCATTTCAACCATTTGCTGCACCCATATACATAAGAATATTTTTCTGTTCAGATTAAACTAATAAAACTAAAAAGTGATATAAATACCATATGGTACACTCAGTGACATGCATGGTATTTTTAAAGGAAGGGATATGACACTTTGGGGGATTCCTCTTATGACTTCTAAAGATTATTCTAATGGTGTAGATATAGAATCCTCTGGTCAATTGGATAAATGCCAAGCATTTAAACTCTGCTTGCTAATATTTACATAGCTACCTTTCAGCCAGCGGGCCACTTGCTTTCCTTTTATGTATTGAGAACTAGAGCTGCCCTGTGTTCCCCTGAAATTGCGGAATAAACTTATTAAAATGAATGATAATGCATTCGCTGGTAAATTTCACAAAGTGTGAAGGACACAAATATATGAACAAAATAAAATTATGTATTATTGAGAAATGGTTTATATACTTCCAGAGATATATTGCTCCTGTACTTATGTAGAAGTAGAAATAAAGATTAGCTCTTTAACATATTAATTGATGTTTCCAGTTTGGGACCGTGAAACATCCCAGAAACAGCTGATTGCTTTTTTAAAAAAGTCCTCTGTCTTTGTTCAGCTAGTCCTACAATAGTAACTTACTCATAGTACACATTTATCATATGCTAGCAGTCTGTCCAGAATAACTTCGTTTGAAGAAAAGATAGGTCAAGTGCACATTCCAGGGAATATTTGCAAAATAATATGTATTTTCTTGCAAAATTTTAAACAATTAGCTCTTAAGGTCACTTTCATATCACCCAGCTCTGCTAGTTTTGTTCCCCTTCTAACATATTTTAAAAGTATGCTTGTTTTAAAAGTCAAATAAATAAGATCTATGATAAAAATACAAGATAATAGTTGTGACAAACTATTCTGAAGAAGTAAGTTTCTACTCTAGGTGCGGGCAAGATCCTTCTAATCAAAGAGGAGTTCTGTGTTTATCTCTTTTGAATAATTGTGCTTTAGTTTCTTCATTTATCTATCTATTATTACTGATTGCCTGGAAGTGTACAGAAAGTCATGTCAAGGACTAAAGCAAACTCCTCTCAAAATATTCTTCTTGAATAAACTAGATTTTAATATTAGTTAATATTTATGTGTACGATGTGTTAAGCATTTTAGTATGAGCTTGTTTCATGGCCAAAATAATACTGTGAGAGTATGAGATATCATGTCTTCATTGTAGAAATGGAAAAATTAATCTGTGAGCAAGGTTGTGCAGGTTTATTAAAGTTGAATAACCACCAATTGCTAGAGTGAGAATTAGAAATCAGGATTGTCGGCCGGGCGCGGTGGCTCACGCCTGTAATCCCAGCACTTTGGGAGGCCGAGGCGGGCGGATCACGAGGTCAGGAGATCGAGACCATCCCGGCTAAAACGGTGAAACCCCGTCTCTACTAAAAATACAAAAAATGAGCCGGGCGTAGTGGCGGGCGCCTGTAGTCCCAGCTACTCCGGAGGCTGAAGCAGGAGAATGGCGTGAACCCGGGAGGCGGAGCTTGCAGTGAGCCGAGATCCCGCCACTGCACTCCAGCCTGGGCGACAGAGCGAGACTCCGTCTCAAAAAAAAAAAAAAAAAAAAAAAAAAGAAATCAGGATTGTCTGAGTCCAGAGTCTATGATCTAAACCACTCATAAAGACTGCTTTTTTACACTTATATTTCCTTTCAATGGGTTATTAAAGTGAAAGCTAAGGTCTCACTAAACTATTGCTTAACAGATATTCTATTAAGATAATTCATAGCCTTTTACAAAGACAAGACTAAAATACGATTAGCAGAAAGTCTTCTGAACAACTTGGCCTTGAGCCAACCCAAGTTTCAGAGACAATGTGAATGATTCAGCCGGTGCCTTATAACTGAGATCCAGAAATAGCTCTGAATCCTACAAAGAACTAAAGAAGTATATTCTCTAGCAGACAATGAGCAATAATGAGCTTCTGATGAGCCATATATAAATTTTTAAAATATTACAATATTTTTAGCCTATTTTAAGATATAAACATGTTTCCAAAAATACAGATTGTGCTTCTGTTTATTGATTTATTATCATTTGGTGGTCTATTCAAAGATATTCACAGAGTCAATAAATTCTGATTATTTTTTCAAGTTAAAAAGCAAAGGGATTTTTTAGCAAAAACACAGCCTCCCAGAGTACAGGGAAATGATATTAAGATTACCTAATAGGGTTATTGAGGAAGTATGTGTTACAGAAACATGTACTTCTGCAATTCTTGAGCAAGAGCTACTGAAGCCAACCAACAAGAAACTCTTGTCAGGAACCTGGCATTATGTGAACTTATCCAGTATGCTTCTTGGAGATCACTTGACTCTAAATATAAGTGACAAACATCACCTTGTGTTTTCTGAGCAGGACGGAAAGGTGCAAGCTAAAATGTGTTGTTATGATGCTAGTTGGCTTTGAAATTACTTTTCAAACAAAGATCGCTTTTGATGAGACCTAATCTGATATTCATGCACAGAAAGTGAAGATATAGCAAGTATACTTAAAGAAAACCATGACTTAGAAAGCAGAACAGTTATATTTATGTTTGTAGAGACTAGGAGAGATAATTATCTTAGAAGTGATTTAAATGCACAGAAAGTAAGTGCCCAATTTCCAAAGAAGAATTAGAGATCTCTAAAGCCTTTATTAGAAAATCCTTGTGTTCTTTTTATGAAATGTCAGTGAAATGAGAGATTGTCATGACGTTAAACCAGAATAAGAATTTAAGGAATGGAGAAAAGCAATGATGAAAAAAAGTATGTATCAACGTTTGATCTGAAATTTTCCTCTTCTTTGGAAAATGTCAAATTTTATGTGCATATTACTTGAGCTGAAATGTAAAATCTTAAGGTTTATG
This sequence comes from Homo sapiens, assembly GCF_000001405.40. Taxonomy (NCBI): domain Eukaryota; kingdom Metazoa; phylum Chordata; class Mammalia; order Primates; family Hominidae; genus Homo; species Homo sapiens. Next base: position 105,182,360 of record NC_000011.10, read on the forward strand.
CTGAAGCTTCCTATGACTCTAATGAAAATTTAGAATGTGAATAAGAACTTTTTAGAAATACTTTCTATTGTTATAGCTTCAATAAATTCTAAAAATTGTTTTTACATAACATCCATGGCAAGAAAAAATGTCTATACTAATCATAACATTCTTCTTCCATACTTCAGTATGAGAATACAACCATATTATTTTCTAATATTAAGGTCTATTTATTGATCCTCAGCAGCATTATTACAGTTTTCTAATCTTTATTAAAATCACCCTGTGCACAAAAACTGTTCTGACATTTAACTAATTTCCAAACATCTTAAACCATTCAAATATAGTGTCCATTGAGTATAATTTGACTTTTACAAAACTCAGTTGAAAATTCCTTGTTTGCCTATTTGTTTTACTTGTTTACATTTGTTTTTCTATCATATGCTATATTTTCTCTATTGTGTAAACCAGGGAACAGAGTTTGCAGACTTTGGTTACCACACGCATACCTAGGATCCAACACAATAGCATTTCTGAATTTATACCAGAATCAATACACTAAAAAGTATCTAGTGCACAGTAGGCACTCAATAAATGCTTGTGAAAATGGAAAAATATTTACATATAAATTTAGCAGTTAAGGTAGAAACTTATTAATTAGTGAAGTTCTCAATTCTTCAGATAATTTTGGAAGGGTATTGTCAAGTGATTTATCCTGATTTTATTCTCCTTGCAATCATTTCTCCCTATTCTCCAGTTCTAGGATTCACATAATTTCTCTCTGACACAAATCTGTCCTTTTAGCTCATCACATATTTTTCAAATAAGTTGTAAATCATTTTACTTATTTTATTGTCTGTCAATTTATTTCTCTAGTAGTCTCAATTTTTTTACTTGGCCTCACTGTGCACATACATAACAGCACATTCTCAACCCCTATCCCTGCTTAAAAAAACTGGTTACAGTGTGATTTGGATTTGAAGCAGTGGATAATATACATGCAACCGAAACATTTTTCCTTTTCCTTCTAGCTACAGTAAAGTCAAGGTCTATACACCAAAGATAGAAAAAATGAGAAAAATAAATGGAAAGAATGAAGCAAAAAGAGAGCCATGAAAGATACAAAGAGATGTATTTAGAAAGTAGAAGGATCAAGACACTGTGTGCCTCAGAAAAAAAGAAGGTAAGCAGCAGTCGACTATATTTTTTAATTGAGATTTTCTTATCTAATTGGAATTATCCATGTAAGGAAACGAATCAGGAACTTGGTTGCCAGATGCAGAGAAGTAGATAAGATTTTCCTCTAGCTATATGCTTGTGCTTTTGGCCTGATTAGCAGCGGATTGAATGATGGCCCTCCTCAAAAGGTATGTTCATATTCTAATCCCTGAAAAATGTAAATGTGACCTTGTTTAGAAAAAATCTTCTTTGCAGATATAATTAAGCTAAAGATTTTGAGATGGAATAATTCAGAGGAGGAGAAGATATGAAGCAGAAGAGAAGAATCCCATGTGAAGAAGGGTACAATGATTGAAGTTACACAGGCGCAAGTTGAAAAGGCTGAAGCCATCAGAATGTGGAAGAGGTAAGGAAGGATTCTACCCTACAGCCTTCAAAGGGAGCATGACTTTGCTGACACCTTGATTTTGGACTTCTGGCCTTGAGAACTGTAATATAATAAATTTCTGTTGTTTTAAGCTATCAAGTTTATTGCTATTTGTTAAGAGAGCAGTAGGAAACTAACAGTATGTATATTCCTTCTTTAGTGACAGTTACGAAGTAAAAAAAAAACAAGAGAATATGGAAACTGCTATATACTAATGATTTTTTTCTGCCCATATCCATCTGAAGCAGTTCCTATTTTTGAAGGTTCCTTTCCCTAACACACACACACACACACACACACACTACCACCACCACCACCACACCAGAATTAAATAAAATACCACACAATGAAAGAGACTAGAGGTTGAGAGGGCTTCTATAATTTAAAATGTGGACATTGCAGCATCATCTTTGAACCCACTTGATATATACCAATTCAAAATGGAAAATTGTTGAAAACCTATTGTGCTACGTTAAATGTAAAAGACCATTTATGAATGATGCATGGGTTCTCCATACAGTAAAGCAAGTCACTTCATATATTTCTGCTTGGAAAGGAAACAGAACACCATTAATGCTACAAAAAATGAGATGGTGATAAATAATGCTTGAGATACTCTTTGGTCCATCAGCTGCTTTCAAGAAAGTAGAAATGATTGCAAAGTTTAGTATGAGCTTGACAAAATATATATACAGATTACATTTTCTTAAGTTAATAAACTTGGAGTTCTTATTTTTCTTCTAATTCTATGTGCAGGTTCATCCAGAATCAGCTTGGCTATAGCTGGAAGCAATTAAGAATATGCACAAGGGCCAGGAGCGGTGGCTCATGCCTGTAATCCCAACACTTTGGGAGGCTGAGGTGGGTGGATCAGGAGGTCAGGAATTCAAGACCACCCTGGCCAAGATGGTGAAACCCCGACTCTACTAAAAATACAAAAATTAGCCAGGCATGGTGGCAGGCTCCAGTAATCCCAGCTACTTGGGAGGCTGAGACAGAGAATTTCTTGAACCCAGGAGACAGAAGTTGCAGTGAGCTGAGATCGCGCCACTGCACTCCAGCTGGGCGACAGAGCGAGACTCTGTCCCAAATAAATAAATAAATAAATAATAAAAAATAAAAATAAAAGAATATGCACAAAGATTTGAAACTCTAGGAAATTGTTTTTATCTCTAATAGATTTCAGCGAAGTTAAATTGTGCGTTGGTCACAAGGGAAAACTTGTCATGGTGACTCATGTAAATTACTAAAATTGCTTTCATTTGGGAAATAGGCCTCATTAGTCCTAAATTTTACCTTATGATTATGTCAGGTAGCCAAACATCATTGCTTATACTAAAATAAAGCTCTAGGTACTATTTCTTTTAATAAAAAACCCAATGATCCTAGCACATTACTTTAGTTATAATCTCAAAACTAGTACCATATATAAGGAAAGCCAATGGTATTACTTATACCTCCTTCTCATGAAATCATCATTAAAGGCACATTTATAGATAATGGGAACTGAGTCAAGATGTTCAGCCTGACAATCCACTGCTATCTCCTGGGCCCAGATGCCCACCCTTTAGCTCTTCAGGAGAAAGAAAAATATGCACTCACTACTGATATGCAAAACTGCCTATTAGCTTATAAGCTTCCAGAACGCATCTTTTTCAAATAGCAGGTAACATATTCTTACAACTTTCTGGGAAGAGAAAAATAATCAAGAGCTTTAATGCTTATCTAGTACAATTTCTTCATTTAATTAATAGAGAAACTAGAGAGCTTGAGGGTTAAATTAATGTCTCGGACCTCAAGTTCCAAAGTAAAATCAACTTTATCTAAATTTGTATTAAGCTAGAATTTCATGAAAAGATAGAGTATAGTACAGCCATGGCTGTAAAAACATGTATACTTGCCAAAAAGGAATTCTCCACTTGCAAATATATGTGAGAACAAAATATTAAAAGAAGAGCCAAAACAAAGGTAAAAGAATACAAAATTGTAGAAAGACATCTTGATAGTTCAACAGAGCTTTATTTTTTGGTCTGCTATTTTAGAGCTTGAAGACTGGTCTTTTAAGCTAACCTAATCAAACAAAAATAAAGGAAAAGAAATTCTTTTTTTTTCCTCCCTTTTTTTAAAGTGCAGTGGCGTGATCTCAGCCCAGGCAACCTCCATCTCCCAGGTTTCAGTGATTCTCCTGCCTCAGCTTTTTGTATTTTTAGTAGAGACAAGGTTTCATCATGTTGGCCAGGCTGATCTCGAACTCCTGACCTCAAGCGATCCACCCACCTCAGCCTCCCAAAATGCTGGGATTACAGGTATGAGCCACTGCACCCGGCCCTGGAAAATGAATTTTAAAATATAAATGAAGTATTTGAGACATATGAGATTATATAAAGTGATCAAACCTATGAATTCTTGACATTCCTCAGAGAGAAGGAGAAAAAGTAAGCAATCTGAAAAATATATTTGAGGAAATCTTTCAAAAAAATTTCCTTAATCTCGCTAGAGAAGTAGATAATCATGTTGAAGAAATCCAGAGAACACTTGTGAGATATTATACAAAATGAATATCAACAAGGCATATAGTCACCAGACTGTCCAAGGTCAATGCTAAAGAATCTTAAAAGCACCTAGATATAAAGGTCAGATCACATAGAAAGGGAGCTCCATCAGGCTAATAGTATACTTCTCACCAGAAACCTTTATAAGCCAGAAGAAATTGGGGGCCTATTTTCTGCATTCTTAAAGAAAAGAAATTCCAGCCAAGAATTTCATATCCTACCAAACTAAGCTTCATATAAGAAAGAGAAATAAAATCTATTCTGGACAAGTAAGTACTAAGGGAATATTTTACCACTAGACCTGTCTTACAAGAGATCCTTAATTAAGGTAGTTTTAAACATGGAAATAAAAGAATGATACGTGCTACCACAAAAGCACATTTAAGTACCTAGCCAACAGACCCTATAAGCAACCACACAATAGAAACTACAAAACAACCAACTAACAACATCATGATAAGATTGACACTTCATGTATCAATATTAAACTTGAATGTAAATGGTCTAAATGCCCCATGTAAAAGGCTAAGTGTGGCAAGCTGGATTAAAAACAAGACCCCTCTGTCTCCTCTCTTTAAAAGACTTATCTCACATGTAATGATATCCATAGATGCAAAATAAAGCATTGGAGAAAGATCTACCACAGGAATGGAAAACTAAAAAGAGTAGAGGTCACTATTCTTATATCTGACAAACTTTAAATCAACAACAGTGAAAAGAAGACAAGGACATTACATAGGGAAAAGGTTTGTTTCACCAAGAAGATTTAACTATTCTAAATATATACATCCCCAATGCTTAAGCACTCAGATTCACAAAAAAGTACTTCTAGACCTATTAAAAGACTTAGCTGTACAATAATGATGGGCAACTTCAACAGCAGAAAGATAACAAAGATATTTTGTACTTAAACTCAAGACTTGACCAGTTGAACCTAATAGACATCTATAGAATACTCCACCCATCAACAACAGAATATACATTCTTCTGCTCTGCGCACAGAATACACTATAAGATCAATCACATGCTCAGCCATAAAGCAAGCCTCAACAAATTAAAAAAATAAATAAAAATCATACCAACCATACTCTTGGACCACAGTGGAATAAAAACAGAAATAAATCAATACCAAGAAGAGCTCTCGAAACTACAAAATTATATGAAAATTAAACAACTTACTACTGAATAACTTTTAGGAAACAACCATATTAAGCAGAAATTTAAAAAAAAGTCTTTGAAATGCATAAAAACAAAGACAACATACCAAAATCCCTGGTATGCAGTAAAAGCAGTGTTAAAAGGAAAGTTCACAGTGGTAAACACTTACCTCACAAAGTCAGAAATATCTCAAATAAAGGACTTAAAATCACCCCTAGAAAAACTAGAAATAAAAGGACAAACTAACTCCAAAGCTATCAGGAGAAAAGAAATACGTAAAATCGGAGCAGAGCTAAATGAAATTGACACCATAAAGTCCATGCAAAGAGTCAACAAAACCCAAAGTTGGTTCTTTGAAAGGGTGAACAAGATCAATAGACTGCTAGCTATATTAACAAAGAAAAAAAGAAAATCCAAATAAGTTCAATCAGAAACAGCAAAGTGACATTAAAACTGATAAGTGATGTTATAACTATAAGTGACATTATAACTAATCTCAGAGAAACATAAAGAATTTTAAGGACTATTATAAACACTTCTATACACACAAACTAGAAAATCTAGAGGAAATGGATAAATTCCTAGAAACACACAATCTTCCAAGATTGAATAAGGAAGACATTGCAACCCTAAACAGACCAGTATCAAGTTCTGAAATTAAATCACTAATAAAATAAAAACTGCCAGCCAAAAAACAAAAGCTCCAAACCAAATGAATTCACAGCCAAATTTTATTTATTTATTTATTTATTTCGAGACAGAGTCTTGCTCTGTCGCCCTGGCTAGAGTGCAGTGGCAGCAATCTCAGCTCACTGCAACCCAGGTCCAAGAGATTCTCCTGCCTCAGCCTCCCGAGTAGCTGGGATTTCAGGCATGTACCACCACACCTGAATCACTTTTATACTTTTATTAGAGATAGGGTTTTGCCATGTTGACCGGGCTGGTCTCAAACACTGGGCCTCAAGTGATAGGCTGACCTAAACCTCCCAAAGTGCTGGGATTACAGGCATGAGCCACCCTGCCCAGCTGTCACAGCGAAATTCTACCAGATTACAAAGAAAAGCTGGTATCAATTCTACTGAAATTATTGCAAAAAATCAAGGAAGACAAATTTTTTCCTAATTTATTCTGTGAAGCCAGCCAGCATCACACTGATAACAAAAGCTGGCAAAGACACAGTGAAAAAGGAAAATTACAGGCCAATATCTGTAATAAATATAGGTGTAAAAACCCTCAATAAAATCCTAACAAGCTGAATCCAATAGCACATCAAAAAGTTAATTCACCATGATCCAGTCGGCTTCATTTCTGGGACGTAAGTTGGTTCAAAATATACAAATCAATAAATATAATCCACCACATCAACAGAATTAAAAGCAAAAATGATATGACTATCTCAATAGACATGGGAAGCTTTCGATGAAATCCAACATCCCTTCATGATAAAAACACTCAAGAAATTCAGCATGAAAGGATCATATCTCAAATAAGAGTCATCTATGACAAACCCACAGCCAATATAATACCAAACTTCATTGATGGAATCATTCTCAACCCAAACCTCAGAATCATGCAATACACACAGGTAACAAACGTGCGCATGTACCCCTGAATTTAAAGTTGAAAAAAAATCTGAAAGGTTTAAAAAAATAAGGTATAAAAATACACCCACTGAAATATAAGACAGTATCAAGTTTACAGAAATCTACAAGTGTGTTTTTATCCACTAGGGTTAAGCTGGAAGAATTTGGGGAGATGAGAGTATTTGGGGAGATAATGGCTAGTAATGATGGCTCTTGCATCCTACTCTAAGCAGTGTGGTCTTTAAAGTAAAAGTAGCAGTTAGCACTGAAGCATTTATGCTAGAACAACTAAATTCCCAAATTTAAATCTTAGATAGTTCATTCTGAAAGCATTAATTGAGGTGGTTTCAAAGAGAAAGAGATAATATCAGATAAACCTAAAAGGTTGAGCTGAAGTAATAGGCTCAAGTGAGAAGTAAAATCTGAAGTAAATCAAAAATTAAGTTGTAAATAATCTAGTGGACATGATAAATAAGAGAGAAAGGGGAAACTCTTGAGTAATTTCCTTTTCTGAAATACTTGAATTACTGAATACAGTCATCTACTAAATTGCGACACCCACGGGAAAAAAACATGCATGCTGTAGGTGATGATGAGTTTGTTATTAGCTTTACTTTGAGATTATTTTAGGACATCCAAATTAAGCTGTTTGCAGGATTGAAATATCTGCACATTAGAGGGGCATATGTGTCTGAAGATCAGGAATTCAGTCAGGGATAGAGATTCAGATTGTGGGTCACCATGATGCAATTGGTAGTGAAAATAATCAGAGAAATAGAATAACTCATTATGTAGGATAAGATTAGGATCGAATAAAATCAGAATCTCAGTGGACACCAAGACTGGCAGGAAGGCAAAAAAACACTAGAGTACAAGGAGATTGAGAACAATTTGAGACTAAGAAAGGGTCAGAGAATGGGAGGTTCTTAAAGACAGAGAAGTCAGGGAGTGACATTTTTTAAGTGATTTGTGGTCATCAAGATCAATGTCACTGGAAGGATTACATTGTTTCTGGCACAACAGTGGTTATTGGTGACTTCACAAGAGCACTTTTAATAGAATACAACAAATATAAAATATATTACTGGAAACTAAGTGAAGATTTTCAATTTTATAAATGGTGCATAGGCAACAGGCATTTCTGGTCTCTCTGAAAACCCAACTAAAGTGACATTAAGTTATTTTTGAATATATATAAGCAAAAAATCAAAGAAAACAGATTTTAGTACATAAAATGTTATTTTTGGAATATAGAAAGCATACAGATGAATAGTAACTGAGTGTATACATGAAAAATCCAGAACATGACAGCTTGGGTAATGACAATTTAAAAAAATCATGATTTATGGTACAGAACCATGGAAAGTGTCAAAAATTGGAGTCGCAAATTATCTCTGAAAGCCAGAGTGTGAAGTGGGACAGAAAACAAAAGATTTGTTGAAAGTGTCTTTAGGAGCAGGTAGCTGCCCTGATGTTCTCCCCAAGTCCAACAAACTAGTCAATTGCCCTTTCTTGAGCTCTGCAGGAAAAAAAAAAAAAAAAAAGGATTATTCTCTGAAGATGTTGAATTACAGAGACTGTGAATTGGAGACATCTTGACCAGCTAAGGTCAAAGATGAGGCACCCCCCTGGACACATGGAACCAGGCGATCGAGGGTGTACTGAATGGAGGTCCTCTTGCCCCCATGGCTGCCTGCCTCCCACTACTCTGGCCTCTATGCTTTTCTGTTGTTGGCAGATGACTGGAGGATTTCTTTCTGAGGAAACTGCCCTGTAGAATAGAGAACTACAAATTCCCCGCAACGTGAAGTTTACCTACACAACAATCCTGCCCATGTACCCCTAAACCTAAAATAAAAGGTAAAAAAAAAACAACAAAAACCTTGTACCCTACCTAAATACAAATTCATGATTAAACAAGCCATTACCACATACATAAATCTTCCTATTAGAATGTTAGGACCTACTTATTTTGATTGGACAGCCAAGGATCACCAGGTATTTGAGAAGCTCCTTAAAAACAAAACACAAAAAAATGCACATGAAAATCCAAAGATAGAAAAAAGAACAAATAAAAACATCAGAGATCATATGGGGAATAAAAAACACTCATATAAAATTATAATTCTCATCTTCAAATCTAAAAATACTATATTACATTTATGATATGAGAGTATTCAGAGAATACAAATTTTTAGAAATGTGAAATCTTTTGACAAAAATAAAAACAAATGATTGAAATGTTGAAAAGCAATGAATAGAAAATTTTGCAGGTGAAAAAAATAATTTTAAAATAATAGAATTCTAAAAGGTTAACAACAACAACAACAACAAAAGCTCAGTCTAACAGGCCAACTAATGAGTTCCACTGAGAGAGACAATGATGGGGAGGATATTATGAAAGCATCACTTAAGAAATTTTTCCAGAATAGAAGGATAAGATTTTCCACAAAAAAAAAGGGTCCACTGAGTATCCACAATGTGACTCAGATTCATCAATACTCATGACTACTCTTCATAACTATACAATTTCAGGACATTTGGGAAAAGTCCTAAGAGCATCTGGAAAGGAAAAAAATGGGTTACATACAAAGGGCTTATACAAAGGAATAAAAATGACTTCTTACTTCTAACAAGCAACACTGGAAACTAAAAAAGAACTGAACAATGGATTCAGTTTCTGAGGGAAAGTCTTTTCTCTCCTGGAAGTCTATGAATCTCACTGCAAACTAAATGCAAGGATAAAAATATTTTCAAACATGCAAGGGCTTAAATTAACTTTCTCTGTGCACCTTTTTCTGTGTTACAGAGTATCTATAGAACATTGTTGAAGTATATATTTCATAAAAAACGAAGGAATAGATTTAGGAAGGACCCAGGAATCAGGGCATTTAACACAAAAGGGTGTAAAGAGGAGACTAGAGAAAAATCCAGTTTAGACTGGAACAAGAGGAGTAAAGATTTCAGGAGAGATATTTCAAACACACACATGTACACACACACACTGGTTTCTTTGTAGTCAAATACATAAAGTAATTTATCAGTTCTTCTTGTGTGCATATGTGTGAGTGTATAAGGTAGTGCAGGGATGTGAAAAAGAGCCATATCCTCATTCTTCAAGCTAAGAAACCAAAAGATATTATCTAAAAATACTTAAAACCACTAAGTAGCAGTGAAAACTCAGTATTTAAAATATGCAGTTTAAATGTATAGTCTATGGGAAATTACATTGGAATATTCAAAATTCAATTAATGACATGAGACATCTAAAGTTTTTTACACATTAAAAAAGGTAAAGCATATATATTAAATATCTCAAAGTACAACAGAAATTTTCAAAAAAATATACTGGAATGAAAAGAAAATGTCTACGTAATAATTTTCACCAAACCATAATATCAACAAATGCTGAAAATAATAATTCTTATAAATGATATATTATTTCCCATATTTCAGGAAGCTTAATCCACTTTATTTCCTGGAAACTCCTTTCTCTTTCACTCTTCACTGTCAGTTCTCTTCAGAGGCAGATATTGCTAAACGTACACCAATATGTGTTCTCTAATTTTTCTGTATCAATAGAAGTTCTGATTTTTATGTAGGCATATGGCTTTCCAGGATATATGGTAAATTTACCATCATTGTTTGTCACTACGTTTGGATCAATAGACTTTAAAGAGAAGGGCCTTGTGACAGTTTCTCTTATGTGTCCATTTGATGGGGTCATGAAGTGAGCAGATATTCGATTAAACATGATTCTGGGCGTGTCTGTGAGGATATTTCTGGATGGCTGAGATTAACATCTGAATCTGTAGACTGAGTAAAGTAGATTGCTCCTGCTCCTGTCCTCCACCAATGTGAGCAAAGCTCATCCCATCTGTTAAATAAAGGTCTGGATAGAGCAAAATTCTAGGCAACAAAGAATTCACTCTCTCTGTCTCATGGTCTTTGAACTGGGTTATCAGTACTCTCTTGCCTTAAGATTCAGTCTGACACATATACCTTTGGCTGTCCTGGTTCTCAGGTATTTTGAGCTGCAGTTCTTCGTACTTCCCAGCCTTCATAATAGTGTGAGCCAATGCCTTATACTCTGTGTGTGTGTGTGTGTGTGTGTGTGTATATATATAATATAAAATATAAATTTATCTTTTTTAATATTTTAAAATATACATATTATATATTATATACATAAAATACAGATGTAATATATACCATATATTAAAATATAATATTTTAATACTTTAAAATGTATAAATTTAATATTTTAAAATGTATTGAATATTTTATATTTAAATTTATATGTTATATATAGATATACAAAATTTAAAAATATATAAAATTTGTTCCTCATAGAAGTACAGGGACAAATCTTTCAAAAGAAGGGTTTGACCTTCTTGGCCAGACGCAGTGGCTCACACCTGTAATCCCAGCACTGTGAGAGGCTGAGGCGGGTGGATCACGAGGTCAAGAGATCGAGACCATCCTGGCCAACACAGTGAAACCCCATCTCCACTAAAAATTAAAAAAAAAAATTAGCTGGGCATGGTGGTGCGTGCCTATAGCCCCAGCTACTAGGGAGGCTGAGGCAGAGAATCACTTAAACCCGGGAAGCGGAGGTGGCGGTGAGCTGAGATTGTTCCGCTGCACTCCAGCCTGGGTGACAGAGCGAGACTCTATCTCAAAAAAAAAAAAAAAAAGAAAAAAAAAGAAGCAGTTGACCTTCTTTATACTGAATGAGTGTGAAGGATGGAGCTCAAGCAGAATCTTGATCTATTTTGGGGAAATCAAAGGCCAAGATAAGTTAAAAGGAACCAGTAAAGGCACCTCAAGTGGCTTATCATTCAGACCACCTATCTTTGAAATTCTTTTTATGAGGGAGATAAATAAATTTTTATTTTACTTAAGTTAATATTATTTTTTATTTTTGTTTTGCCCCTCATAATTTAACCTCATTCTAAATGATGAATTTCCTAAAATAGTCTCATAAAAATGCATGTTTTTGATACTTGGTTTAATTGAACAAGATCACATGCTTTCAGATTCTCCAATGCTGTGCTTTTCTTAACATGTTCTTTTCAATCTCCTGGAAGCAGTCATTTTATAATGGAAAAGATAATGTTAATAAAGCTGCATGATTCAGTGAGAACACAGACTGTTTCTTTCTGTTAATGAACCATCTTTATACTAACAATGATGTAAATATAAAGATGTAAGCATAATAGTGATGTCCACACAGGGTTACCCAGAAGGTAAAAAAGGAATCAAATGCTGAGTTGGTAAAGCTACTTACCCAAAAAGCCACAGCCATAACAACAGTATAAGGCAAGTGTCTGTGTCCAGCTGCATCACAGTCCTGGACATCACCACCAGTAGAGCGCAATCCATGGTTCCCAGTGTGAGAACAAAATAAATTTGAATCATACCACTGGCATAAGAGATGTTCTTCTGTGGGCCCCAGAGATTGTACTGTAATTAAAAGATGGAACTGATGGTGTAGCAGAAATCCAGAAAAGAGAATAAGTACCGAGAGTGTGGGGATGGGAGTCCAGGTATGACAGAATGATGCTGAACAGCTTGCCTATCAGTGTCATGAAGCAGAATATCAAGAGAACTACAAAAATAACTATTTCCAGAGGAGGTCAATTAGAAAGACCCAGTAGAATAAAGTAATTTTCAAGACTTATGTTGATATTTCCCATTATTATTCATTTTCTGTCACCTGAGCAAAAAAAATCATATACATTCAAAAGAAAAAAAAAGTAAGAAAATGCTCCAAAAATCACAGAGAATCATGGAAAATAAACAAGTCATTTTGAAGGGTCTACTATTGTTCAATTCTAGGATAATTTGAACATTGAGAAAAACTGTGATAGTAATGAATTTAACAAACAAAGAATCATAAAAGCACATACCAATATAAAAAATAAAAGAATAAAGAAATAAATGCTGAAGACAAAGCTATTTCTTAAGTAGAATCCTAAGTAATCCTCACTAGAATGATGGAGTTAGAAAAACAGAAATGGATGTTAAAACTATTGGATGAAAATCTGATAAGGAAAAGAATATTTACACAGTTTAAAATATCTCTCCACAAACTACTTAGTTCCATAATGAAAAATAGTAAACTTTACAGTAGAAAACAGATCATTTGATATCATGATCGATATTAACCTCACCAATGTTGTAATAGACCAATATCATATGCTTGCTGATATGATGCTCTGAACAGGACATAATATCACTTCAATGTTATTCCTGCTGAAAGTGCACAGCCTAATTCTAATAACAAGGAAACATGGAACAGACTCAAACTGAAAAAAGTTTAACAAATAAGCTCGCCTGTACACTTCAAATACATCAAGGCCAACGAAGACAAAAAAGCTGAGGAACTAGACTAGATTAAAGGAGATCAATGAAACATTATATCTGCACTAGTCTGTTTTCACGTTGCTGATAAAGGCATGCCCAGGATCTGGTAATTTATAAAGCAAAAAAGGTTTAATGGACTCACAGTGCCACATGGCTAGGGCGGCCTCACAATCATGGTGGAAAGCAAAAGGCATGTCTTACATGGCGTCAGACAAGACAGAATGAGAGCTAAGTGAAAGGAGAAACCCCTTATAAAATCATCAAATCTCGTGAGACTTATTCATTACCACAAGAACAGTATGGGAGAAACCACCTCATGATTCAATTATCTCCCAGTGGGTCCCTTCCACAACCCATGAGAATTATGGGCTTTACAATTCAAGATGAGATTTGGGTGGGGAAACAGCCAACCCATATCAATATCTAAATGTGTGATCCTGAATTCAGGAAAAAAAAAACAGATATTAACAACATTATTAAGAAAATTGGAAAAATCAGAATGTAGACTATGGATTTAGATAATAATATTGTATCCATATAAAATTTGCTGATTTTGGTAACTATACAGTGGTCCGTAAAATAACGTTCTTGTTTTTAGGAAATAAACACTGGTATATTCAGGAAGAAAGGAAAAATGATATAGGCACAAATTAATGATGATTTACAACTAGCTTTTTTTCCTCAAAAAAATAGTTGGCATATGTCTGTGTTTGCATGTGTATTTATGTAAGATAGCCAACAATCACAGCATGAAATGGAGTAGAAAAAAATCACATTTTATACTTAAAACTATTTCTTAAAAAAATCACCAACTTTGTATATGAGCCAATTACATTAATGATTGAGCCTGTCTCCAAATCGTGCAAATTACGTAATAAATAAGCATCATGTGAAAACATTCATAATGGTCACCGGACTAAATAAAAGGAATCTTATAGCATGATAGTTTAGACACTAGGATCTTGAATCAAGTAGCCTAGATCCAAATCTCAAAAATGCCAACTCAACTGGGAGCTACTGTCTCAATATCTGTAAGTGTATTTTCACATATATAAAATGGGACTAATAACAGTATCCACCACAAGCTCAGTCATCTGGGTTAGGAAAGGTCATTTGTATACATAGCTTAGCACAATGCATGGAATATGATGGACAGCTAATCAATGATATCACAGTATATGTGGCAGATGTTTACATAGGCGCTAAGTGTTCTGTGCGAGAAAGGTTGGCAGTGACGGCTAATATTTTTTAAAGTAGGTAGCTGAAACCTGTGAACTTTAAAATCTGACTTGCTCAGCTTCCCAAAAATCCCAAAAGTCTATGTGACACGTTCCTACAAATTCACAAGAGAAATCCTCCTGGAGGCCAACAGATATAGAAAGGGAAGGGGCAATAAAATGGAATTGTTAAGACCACTTGGGCAGCCAGATGCCTTTTCTTTAAGAGATGGGGCTGGGGAGCACTGAGCGGTGGCCCATCACATGATATTCACCTGGCAGAAAAGCTTGAAGTGTATGTTAGAAATTTCTGAACTGAGATGACGAGCTCGAGTTGAGTCAGCCCACGTTGTAAGGTTCTCACAACACTGGCCACTGCAAGATTTAATAATATTATGAGAAAAAGCCTGAGCAGCAGTAGCTCAGGACAGTGAACCCTAAGGCACCATTCAACCATGTATAAGCAGCAAAGGCTGCCGCCAAACATCGTCTACTTTGGAAGCCCTCCCAACATTTACAATGTTCACTTACTTTCTTAACTGCATTATAAATTAAAACACATTGTCATTTATCAGGGAATATGCATCATAAATGCATTAGGGGAATATCTTAAAAGAAACAAAGGATTATTCTTAACATTAGAATTATGAGTGACCCTTATGAATTTGCTAATTATTTTCCCTTCTGTAGATATTAGCAATGCCTTTTATCCACATTTGTATTTACATATGCTCACAACACACTCACTTGTGTTCTCTGCATTTACAAACAATTACTTCATAACAGACCTCCTACATAATTCAGCAGTCTCACTCCAGAGAGTGCAAACCAACCTATTCACACCCTCTCCCTCATGCCACTGACATACTCATGAGAAAGAAAAACAGATCTACTCAAAGATGTGATTCAGGAATCTAATTGTCAGTCCATTTCTGTTGCCATAAATTGAGATTTGTCTGGGCATCTTACCATATTTTTGTTTAATCTGCTGTCCCTGTATTCAGTTCTGATTTTCCATTTCTATCATTCAGTGATGTTGATTTTGTTATAACTCTGCAAAAGACTTGCGTATGTTTCATTGTTTTAAAAAATGAATGTGTTGCTTTTCACTAGGGAAGGGCTATAAGAAGCAATATATTTAAATAGTATTTTGTTCTAATAATAACTCAGGACAGAGAATGCTGACCACGTTGAACAAAGGGTTATGGATTTAAAAAATACTCATTAATATTTTGATACAACCATAAATGTCATCTTTTATTTATTGAATAAATATTTATTAATAATTCAATAAATTGCCAGGCCCTAGGGATTCTGCTATGAGCAAGATGTCTAAAATTTTATGCCAGGATCTAGGGGATTTAAATTAACAATATACGAACAATTTTTTGAGGTCTCCAACTAAGTGACAAAGTATAGTTCTGAAATCAAGGCGAAATAAGTGAGTACCTGTTGAAGGAGCTGACAATGGTGTCAGATACTGAAATATAATGGTAGCTGGCAAATGCTGTAATAGCTCTATGCACAAAGTGACTGAAGTCACATGGGAGTAGGCTATATAACCCGAATAAGAGGTCTAAGACATTATCTTGGAGCAGACAATGCTTGGGATGTGTTCACAAGCTGAAGGAGAAATCCAGAATTGAGGAATGGATGGAGGTAAGGCTGGAGAGGGAATATGTGGGCAAAAGAAGGCTGGCTCTTCCTCAAGGAATCCCACTGGGTGGCATTCCTTATCATAGCAGAGCTGAAAATCCTACTTTGGACAGCACCCTAAGTAAGGAGAGCTTGGCTTCTCAAAGAACCCCCTCACTCTTCTTTAGTTGGGCTCAAAATACTGATATGTAAACACCAAATTAATTGACTTATTTGTAACGAAAAATAACTCTTGGCCGGGCGCAGTGGCTCACACCTGTAATCCCAGCACTTTGGGAGGCCAAAGTGGGCGATTCACGAGGTCAGGAGTTCAACACCAGCCTGACCAACATGGTGAAACCCCGTCTCTGCTAAAAATACAAAAATTAGCCGGGCATGCTGGCAGGCACGTGTAATCCCAGCTACTCAGGAGGCTGAGTCAGGAGAATCGCTTGCGCCCAGGAGGCGGAGGTTGCAGTGAGCCAAGATCGTGCCACTGCACTCCAGCCTGGGCAACAGAGCAAGAATCTGTCTCGAAGAAAAAAAAAAAAAAAGCAAAGAACGAAAAATAACTCTCATGTGGGCTTGTATGCTTATGTAAATATGGACATCATAACCTTTTCCCATAGGTACAACTATACAAGCAGCCAATTAAAATTAGAAGCCTGTTTGGAGACAGCAGAATCTCCAGAGAACATTAGGATAACATAAGTTGATCCATTTGCTTTCACAATCAAATAGTTGTGTTTTGTCTTTTGTTTAATCAAAGGAAAAATTCAAATTTCATTTTTTTTAACTTTTATTTTAGGTTTGGGGGTACACATGAGGGTTTGTTATATAGGTAAACTTGTGTCACAAAGGTTTGTTGTACATATTATTTCATCACCCAGGTATTAAGCCCTGTACCTATCTTTTCTGCTTCTCTCCCTCCTCCCACCTTCCCACACTTCCACCTCAAGTAGACCCCAGTGTCTGTTGTTTCCTTCTTTGTGTTCTTAAGTTCTTATGATTTAGCTCCCACTTATAAGTGAGAACATGTGGTATTTGATTTTCTGTTTCTGCATTGGTTTGCTAAGGATAATAGCTTCCAGCTCCATCCATGCTCCCACAAAAGCGCTCTGTTGCCAGGCTGCAGTGCAGTGGCACAGTCTCGGCTCACTGCAACCTCTGCCTCCCTGGTTGAAGTGATTCTCCTGTCTCAGCCTCCCAGGTAGCTGGAAATACAGGCGTGCGCCACCATGCCCAGCTAATTTTTGTATTTTTAGTAGAGATGGGGTTTCGCCATGTTGGCCAGGCTGTCAATCTCTTGACCTCTTGATCTGCCCATCTCGGCCTCCCAAAGTGCCGGGATTACAGGTGTGAGCCACCGTGCCCAGCCAGTATCATTCTTTTTTATGGCTGCGTGGTATTCCATGGTCTACACATACCATGTTTGTTTTATCCAATCTATCATTGATGGGCATTTGGGTTGATTCCATATCTTTGGTATTGTGAATAGTGCAGCAACGAACATTGATGCAATCCCATTACTGAGTATATACCCAGAGGAATATAAAAATTTGTATTTCATAGGCAAAGGCTTCTTTTTTCCTATGAGAGTGTTTGGAGGGGCTTCAGTAACTACAACTTTTTTTCTATTTATTGTGAGTGCCAGGCAGTGCACTAATTATCTGGAACCACTATTTTCCCTTGTAAGACTACTCAGCTAATTTATGGCTGGTCCAAGATGTGAATCCAGATCTGTTTTCAAAACCTGTGTAACATCTATGCTTCAATAACCAATAAATTTTCCTTCTCATTGGCATATCCTCTACTGAGGCTAGCAGCCCAGATAGCAGAATTTGATGGTGGTTTGAAGTACAGATCTGTCACTTATTAACTGTGGAGCCTTGTAAAAGACCTTGAACTCTTTGAGCCCCAAGTTTCTAGCAGGTAAAAAACAGAGGAGATTATATATATATATATATATATATATATATATATATATATATATATATATATATCCATACACATATATAAACACACAAACATACATATGTATAGTGTGTATTACAGTACAATTTTTTAACACAAAGTATCTATTTTTATTATTATAAATTACTTACAAATAGTTCATTTGCAGACTTAGTTATTTTGCATATATCTACTTTCATTCACTAAGTCCTGCTTTCTTTGTCTCTCAGAGTCATTGTCATTTCCTCTACTCTAAGTCACTGGAGAAAGTCTTTCTGAAAATTATCTCATGCTGACATCCTCTAATACAGTTAGTGGACTAGACTGCAGGTGATCTAATACATCTACCTGTTCAGAGTGCCCAGAGGGATGAACAATTTCTCACCAGGAAAAAGGTGAGTGATGTCTCCTGTCAGCTCCTCCCAGTGTGAGGATAAAAAGAATTTGTAATTTTTTAGTACATTTTGTTTTGAAGGGTCTCAAAATTTCTTAAATATAAAGTCACATCAATTCTCATAACCCCAACCTCAGACTGGTGCATATGATAAAATCTACAACGTAAGGTCAATAATAGTTCCTTGGAAAATCAGCCATGTTTATAGATGACTCTAATTGTCACTGTAAGGCAGTAAGGGTTGGTAGCAATTTGCAGAAATGGGGCTCAGTTCAGCAGACAAAACATTAAAATTTGAAAGCTAGTCAGGGTCCTATCATTTTGTGCAGTATTTCAAAGGCCAGTATTTCCTGGTTATTTAAATATAATCGGGCAACATACAAGGTGCTAGTCAGTAATGTCATATCTTTTCTTAGAGCAATAGAAACCATATTATCTCCCCTAGCTTAAATATAAAGCATTTTATACCGTCTTTAGATAAATTATTTTATTTTAAAGGAAGGGACTTTTATTTTCAAGTTTATCGCTATAGTGCCAAATTTATGATAGTTACCTTCAGCACAGGGCAATAAAGATGACTTGCACTTTCTGTATCCGTTTATGAGGTTTGAGATGTATTTTTTACGTATATTCATACTATATGTATCAGCTTTGATATTTTATATTCTAACCTATTATACTTATTTGCTCTTTAGTTATATGAAAAATGAGCCCAAAGATTTGGGGATGAATTCCTAATAAAAATATTAAATTTTTTGATGTCTATAAATTAACCCTTCTTGGTACACCTCTGAGACCTTTCGTCTCATACTCAGTAGGAAACATTTATACTTTCATTTATTTTTTCCTCCTCCACAAAAGTGCAGAAATTAATTATATCTTTGAATGCTTGCCTCCAAGGGAGGAAATTTTTCACTGTATGTATTTTATGACTGAGCAAAAACTTTTTAAGAGGAATATTATTTACTGTGATTCATCTGTGCCATGTGCATTGCTAAATACATATCAACTAGAAGAGAACCCCAAGGGTATAAAATAGGATTTTATCTCTCCATATAAATTTGTAATCCTATGAGTATATTTTACTGTTTTCCCAATTTCTGTAATTTCCACATTTCACTTAATAAAAGCTTGAAATTTATTCTTATTTTTCATTTGGTATTTTTTAAACATCCAGATAAGTAATTATTGTTAAAAAGAAATAAAGGTACTTTTACTAAATTCTTCTCCATTTCAGTAAGTTGCCATGCTATTTTTTGTCTAACGTGTAATGCTACTTTGGAAATGATGAAGTTGTTAAACTCGTAGGACCTTAATGATCAGCATGTCCAATGACCACATCTCTTTATTTTATAAATGAGGAAAGACCTGAGGTCCTAAAAACTGGAGTTGACTAAGATCACACAGGTAGTCATTAAGTTTAATTATTATTATTATTAACTAGAGCTTAGAAGCAAGGACTTCTGCCTCCAATTAATTTGCTGCACTATTTAGGTTCTGCTCCACTCCCTAAACAAGCTTAGTGGTGCAAGAGTACTCTGAGGGTTATCTGTTTTTATTAGTTGCATTTTAAAAAATCTACTCATTTGGGCATTAAGTGCTTGGGAAAAAACTGCTTATTTGGGCATTAAATCCATTAAAGTCCATCTGTTCTTTGGATCATGAGTGAGCAGAAAAGGCCCGTCACCCTAGACAATGGTGCTTCGTAAATTTTTTTTTTTTAGACAGCAAGTATGTCAGTCGACAAATGCAGTATCAAGTCTAGATCTTCACCATGATATCTGGTGCTGAGGTTTGCATGGCTTTTGACATGTGAGCCACTTGAGGGCAGGAACTCTTTTATTCAGCTTTGTGTCAGACACGTGCTTTCTCTCAGAACATCTTGAAGTAGATTAATTACATAAAACAGAACAGAATCTATAGCTGAGGCTGGCCCTTAGCACTGCCATAAATATGAAGCAGAATAAAATATTTTCTATGGAAAATTACTTGAAAGCCAATTCTTCATTCTACAATTGAGAAGATAGCTCTCAAAGTCAAGATTTATCCCAAAATGACAATAGAACTAGGACTTGGAAAAAAGCCTACTGCGGCTATTGTACAACCACAGCATTTATTTAAACCCTGACCTTGCTTCTGTCTCATTCAGAGTCGCTATTTGCTGACAATCGTGCTATGAGATAATCTCCCTTGCAGATTTATGTTCTTCCTGGACCTTTTCTCAGAAAGACATATGCCTTGCTCACAATTTTTTGCATTTCCAGGTACTTTGGCTGCTGCTGTGGTTTTATCTGAACTTCAGCTTTAGTGAATCATTAAAGCAGTTCTTTGATCTGCCCTACTTGCCTTGCCTGAAGTTGACACAAAGAAAGTACTATTTCTTTTACTCTGGATCATTTTGAACTTTGCCCAGTCTTATGATTTACTTTATTCCAGGTAAAACCAACACAATAAAAGTCCCATCTATAATAAAAAGGACATTTATTACCCATGTTTTATAATAAACTGATATCTACTTTCCATATATATGCACATTCTAAAATTATTTCCATATTTCATAAAAGCAAAATCTCATATATGAAGAGAAAAATACAGTTCTGTATTTGCTCCAAAAATAGACACAGGTAACAATTCTCAGCAGGGTTATTACAGTTGATGTCATAGAAATTCCTTCAAATCTTAGTTATTATAACTAATATTAATCACTTTAAACAAGAATTTTGAGTTATACATTTTATGAATGATTCCAGGATACTGAAGGTAGTTTTGTGTTCAATACTGAACAAATGTGAGAAAATCAACATTTTCCCTTTTCATTTTTGCTTCCAAAGAACAGTATTAAACAGTCTTCCTCAATGATATCAGCTCTGCATCCACTTTCTAAGTGGAGTCCAGTGTATTTGGGATCCCCTTACACTTACTGAGTGATTCTCTAAATTCTCAGTTCATTTGCAATGTTAATATGGGGAGATAAAATTCTGGCATAAGCCAGGATTCTCAGGCTATGCTGCAGTTGCAAACACCAGAATCTCAGTGACTTGACATAATCAAAATTTATTTATTGCTTAAGCTATGGTCACTGTGGGTGAGAGAGATTCTCTAAGGTATCTGCACCCCAAGCAAGGGCTCAATAATTCATGAGGGCTTTGATCTCCTGCAACCTCCATATTAACATCCAATTTCATCATTGCCATGGCAGAAGAAGAGACGAAAATGCTTCAGGCTATAATGACCCATTCCACTTTCACTCTCAATCTACTGGTCCATTTCATGTTATATCTCTGTCTAACAGCAAGGGAGCTGAGAGTGTGTAACTCCCTTATACCTGGAAGGTAAGGAGAACTGAATATAGAGTAGCACGATAAACCCTGATTATACAATAAAGTGGTGGTTGAAAATAGCTAAGTGGAAATCATAAATCCATTTATGGTAGCATTTACTGTATCCTTAAATTGTGCTCTAAAATACACACAACCAATAACATCCGATATGACAATTTCCAACATGCCTTCGGGTTATATACAATCTTCCTCCTTTAAGTGGGAAATCATTATTATGAATTTCTAAGAAAAGAATGATGAGCATTGGGTAATATAGAGATCAATTAATAAAGCCGCTGAAGTGTTAAACAGCTATAAGTCACGTTTCTGAGTTCAATGGTAAACAATTAAGCCTCTTTTGCACAATATTTTTAAATGTATTTGGTATACTTTTTATTTTACATCGTAAGCTTTAGCATATAATCAAGTTGGCTAATATTTTGAGTGATTATTGGCAGCACATGTTTGTTAAGTCTGCTCAAATATATTAATAGTTTGGAACTCATTGTTAGGTCCACTGCTGAATATTATTTTTTGAGCCAAGAAGTCAAGTGGGTAAATTTTGCCACCACAGGGAATCATTTTGTGCAGAATTAGTGAGAGATAAAAATATATGTTTTTAATATAACCCTTACTTGAGACTTATCAATCATACAGTGCTGGGTCTATGTGTTAGGATGATTGCATTAGCATTAACTTGAAAAAATGGGAACTATAGGTCAAAAACATCCTTGACTTCCTCTCTAAAGTGCCTATTTATATCTGTTTAGATGAGAGACTGAAACCAATAATACTAGAAATTTAAAGTATACAGAAACTTTCATTCTATTTTGTAAAAACCTGGGTCTCATGGTGGTTTATTTTTAAATAAGAATTTTAAATATAAACAAAAATGTCTATTTTTCAAGTTAGTATAATAGTAGATACTGTTTTTTTTTTTTCTTTTTTTTTTTTTTTTGAGATGGAGCCTCGCTCTGTCCCCCAGGCTGGAGTGCAGTGGCGTGATCTGGGCTCACTGCAAACTCCGCCTCTCAGGTTCACGCCATTCTCCTGCCTCAGCCTCCCGAGTAGCTGGGACCATAGGCGCCCGCCACCACGCCCGGCTAATTTTTTGTATTTTCAGTGGAGGCGGGGTTTCACCGTGTTAGCCAGGATGGTCTCGATCTCCTGATCTCGTGATCTGCCCACCTCGGCCTCCCAAACTGCTAGGATTACAGGCGTGAGCCACCGAGCCCGGCCTAGTAGATACTATTTTTCAAGTTACTATCACCTACTCTATTATACATCTGGAAATGTTATTAAATACATACAATAGACCAGTACAAATGGTGTTTTTGGTAAACAAAAATGATTATTTTGTAAAAGAAAAAATAAGTGTTTAATTCAAATAGTGCTTGTAAAGGGTTAAAGTCATTTTATTGTTTTTTTATTGTTATTGTTTTGCACTAATAGATGGGAAAACTCTTCCAGATTTAGTTTAATTGATTAGAATATTTTGGCAGTAAAAATATAGGGTATACTTGCTATGCATTTTTTTTTTTATTATTAAAGCAACGTTTTTACAGAAAATTCCTATTCCCTAAACAATTTATTTTTTTCTGGCTTGCTGTTTTTGTGAGATAAGTTCTTCTATAAAGAACATCAGCCTATATTACAATAATCATGAAGGTGAGTTTTGCTATGAGTCTATTCCTATTTCCAATTCTACTGTAATATTGAGAAATATATCTATAAATTATAATAATTTTCCCTAATGTTCACCAGCCTTTTCTACTTCTATAGATGATATGTGTAGGTCCTGACCATTGCTCAAATATGCCACCACTACAGCCCAAGTTTAATAATGGGAAGGAAATGCAAGTTCTAAAAGCATGTTTCTTACATATCTAATTGTAAACTATTATAAATGATGATAATAATCACACTGAGTCTCGAAGGATGGCATTGTCTTTGAAACACTAGGGACCTTGTCTTCATGTTTGCCAGTCCACAAACTAAAATATATAAACAGGGTTCCCAGACTTTGGAGTTTATTGACACCAAATTCACAAGAAGGTGATACATAAACCAGAATATTTGTTCGTTTACAGTTATGTTGGGGGACATCTAGTCGATATTTCTAGCACTCTTTTCTAATTACCTGGATTATATTTAAGGATGTAGGGCTTTCCATGGTGCTTATAATTTAAATGGGAAAGCAAAATGTACAAAATGACAACAAAACATAAAACAACCACAGGATATTTTAAATGTGAATGCTACAAAACCTCACAGCCATGTAGCGGTTTCTGTAGAACGGAATGAGGGCAAATTATTTGAAGGAGGTGTGTTTAATTTATATTTTTTTATCAATTTAAAATGTAGAATCATTATTTTTTTCCAGTTATAACCCACAGAAACAAAACTAAAACAAATCGGAGAAAGTGAGTTGTTACTGTCTATACACATATAATTTCAAATTATTAAAGCATGCTATCATCCTCAAGACTACCACACTCTCCAACCTGCATCTCTACATCGCCCACCTTCTGCTGAGGCCTAATATCATGCATTTGGGGGAAGAATCTGTTTTGTTTATTTTATTTATTTATTTATTTATTTTTAAGTAGAAAGGAATTTATTGGCTCATACAGCTGTAAAGTCTACGGGTGGAGATGTTTGCATTTAAGCCTGACTAAATCCAGAAGTTTAAACAATAATATCAGCGTATCCATCCTGTGGTTCTATTTGTATTTGCATTTCTCCTCTTGATGGCCTCATTCTTTCATGCCTTAGACAAGATCTCAAAGAAGCTTACTCAGATCTTGGTGCTTACAGCCTACAATCCACAAGGCAGCGATATTTTGTCTCTCCAGCATCTACATTTGAAATCTTGGTGGAAGCTGTAATTGTCCCATCTTAGTTTATGTGATTATCATTTGAACCAATTACTAAAGATAAAATATTGGAATACCATGATGGGATTAACTCCCAGTCCTATGCCCACTGCTGTCATTCAGAGGCTAGCCATAACCATATGAGATGGGTGGTGTGGTGCTGGTAAAGCCTGATAGAAATTGATGTACTGAGCAGAAAAAGATTCTAAATATCAACTATGGCTGGGTTCATAGATTTCTCTGCAATAGTATTAAATTGATATTTGGTTAGTTCAAGGAATATTTAAAGTTGGATACAAAGGAAAACTTTTATATTTGGGTTATGTGTCTTGGCCTATCCGCGGATCAGTCTTTCTGGTAGGAGAATAATTCACTCACTATAGGAGAATAATAAAATTAACCTTGTGGTTGGGGAATAGACTATTTTACCAAAATTACACTGAGTTATGGAGAAACAAGCTTTCCTGGAGAGACAAAAAGTATCTTACAGGCAGAGAGTTGCAGCAAACAGCTTTTGGCACGTAGAAGTAACTACTGAAGGGATGTCAGGAGGGCACTAATAACATTTGTACAGTTTACTCTTTGCATGGCCCACTGGTGCTTCACATTTTTTCCACTCTGACCTGTATCTGATTTTTCAAGAGACTGGCCTATAACAATTTCTAAATAAAATAAAAAAACAAAGGGCTTAAAACAACAGAGAATTTTCAATACCCTTGGCCAGAACGTCTTTTGCGTAAGGGTGCTTCTACCCAAGTTTAACACTGGCCACAAAAGCACCAAAACGGTCTTTTCAAAATCCTTGAGCTCAGTCACATTTTGTTATGTGCCTAGTGATAATCAGGGTCAATTAACCCTGCCAGCCCATTGACCTATCCCCTTGCCTGTTAGCTTGAAGAGCTAACCAGGTATAGTCATAGACTTACATTTACTGGAACACTGGTTGTGTCTGCTCCCTCATAGAGAAATCAGAAATTCTAGTCCATCTAAAACTTCAAGGATGAGAAGCAAACATTTCTAAATGGTTCACTGAGAATGGTGATAAAATATGTCATTCCGAGTTTTTACCCTCGGTTCCCTCACCCATGAATTCTAACTATCAGGATGAAAGCAACATTTATTAAAATCCCTATTCCACAGGGCATGATGACCAAGGTGGCAAGTAAGTTATGCCTTTAAGGTCATTTCCATATTTCGTCATGCTGGAAGTTTTTGGGTTCTGTGGTGTATGGTAGAACTGTACACCACATGATTATTTAAATATTGTCTCACTTCCTTTGCTATAAAGTGGAAATGAAACATGACAATAATTCAGATATTTTTTGAGAACTCAGGCCAGAGTAACTTTGGCAATCTCCATGCATTCGGTCTCATAGATACATGTTTCCAATGAGGAAAATCACTGGAAAGAATTATACCTTCCAAAGTGGAAATGGTAAAAATAATCAACTTGCCAGTGGTGGATCTCTTAGAGAACAGTACAGCATCCAGAGATGAACATCAGTTTATGCTGCTAACACTTTGAACATTCACTAGCTACTTCTGTGCTGGTTAAAGGGAGCCTGTGATATTGAATCATGCATAGCCTCCACTTTCTCACCATGGCTACTGTTTTAACAAGCCCAATAGTGAAAGCCCTTGCGTGATCAGAGCCAGAGAGTGGCTAAAATCCACTGGCCCAGCAATTTTGTTCAAATAGTCATTCAATGCCTTCTCTGTACTGGGTATTTTTTGGTGGGCATTGCCATGAGAAGTAAAGATTTACACACTGTTTGTCCATTCCTATAGGTCCAATCACATGCTTCTTTCCTGGACCTCTTTGTCTGTCATTTTCTATTCATATTACTTCTAAGACAATAAATAATTAGCAAAGACAGTGGACGGAAGTTTGTCTCTCTCTTGACCTGGGCCATTTCTACCACTCCATCACGATGATGAATAGGTGTACTGCTCAAGCCTCTGCCACTGAGATACTTCTCACTGCCCGTCATTGGACGAGAACTGGTCCCGGGACCCCAGCTGCCTGGGGCTTCTGGCTTGTCCTGTTTGCAGTGTTTCCATTGGTTAGAATAAAATCATTCAGCTGTAGAATCACAAGTGTACTCAGTAAGCAGTCTAGGCATGTAGACATAATTTCTAGGGGATTATTGGCAGGGCACTAATAGTCTCTGCTTAAGCAGGCAAAATCTTTAAATCTGCTTCCTACATGTCTCCAATTTATCTCCTGTGTAAGTTAATTTTATGTGTCAAATGGACTGGGTGACAGAGTGCCCAGATACTAGGTTAACATTATTCTGGGTTGTCTGTGAGGGTGTTTCTGGATGAGAATAACATTTGAATCATTAGACTGAGTAAAGCAGATTGTCCTCCACAGTGTGGATGGGCTTCATCCAATCCACTGGAGGCCTGAATAGAAGAAAAAGTAAAAGAAGAGGGACTTCACTCTCTCTGCTTATTTTCAAGTTCGGACATCAGTCTTCTGCACCCGAAGTGGCATTTGCATCATTGGTTCTTCTGATTCTCAGGCCTTTGAACTGGTATTAGAACAACACCCCTGGCTCTTCTAGTTCTCCAGCTTGCAGACAACAGATTGTGGGATTTTGCCTCTATAATTACATGAGAAAACTCCCTAAAATCAGTCTCTTTCTCTCTCTCTCTCTCTCTGCATGTGTGCGTGTGTGTGTGTGTGTGTGTGTGTGTGTGTGTGTGTGTGTGTGTGTTTGCAATTTCTTTCTCCTATTGGTCTGTTTCTCTATATAACCCTAACTAATACATTTGCTAAATGTCCCTTACTTTCAGAAAAGCTGTGCATTTGATGGGAAACACCTGTCTCTCACTCTCATCCCCCCCCCACTTACCCCTAATTCCTATCTTCATAATCTATTTGATTTGATGATTGCCTCACTGAAGTTAATTGTCCTTCTTTACAAACCATTAATGCTTGGTTTCCCTTCTCTAATGGCACTTAACAGATCTGATATGGTGATAAGTATTTTTCAACTATGTTATAACAATCACTACATACATGCATTTATTGCAAATATACTATATTCTTCTTAAACACAAGAATTGTTTTTTACTCATCTCTGTGTCTCACATACCTAAATGAGTACCTAGCGCAAAGTTAGCATTACTTTAATAAAAATTTGCTGAGTTATTTTGAATGGAATAATCTATCATTATTACCTTCCTTAAGGCAACAAAGGCAAAATTAAGCACAGAGTAGTTAATGAAAATTATCTGTTGCATTGAGTATATTTAAAAATCCTGAGCTTTATATTTTTTTCCTCTCAGACTTTGAGTCAACTTTGGTTCTCTTTTAATTTCTCATAGCCACATAAAACAAGTCCAAAAAAATTGTTTATTTTGAAGTTCTACCACTGGTCAATAAAAGTCAATGTAAGAAATATTAAAGTGGGTGGAAAGCTTCATGTGCTATTGATTGTTGCGCAGTTGGATAAACACCGTGATACAGAATGTTTAATGACATAGCAAAAAGATATATAATGGAGCAGAATATCCAGCTAGATTCTGTTTTGAAGTTATGATTATCTGATACCTTCATGACCCTTAAGTCCAGTGTTAACGGTACATTTTTATATAGGGTTAAAACCATTTTTTCAAACAATATTGGGAAGTTGGACTCCACATCCTTAAGCACATGATCCTTCTACATCAAATGATTCTCCTTTTACCCTACCCCAGACTCTCAGGTAGGTAGAGATTATTGATCTCTTTGGTATGTTTTGTGGAAGCCAAGCCCCAAGACAGACAAGCAGCTCTCAAACCACAGCAGCAACATAATCAGGATCCTTCCTTATGATTAGATCAAAAGACAAGTACCTACAATATTAACCCTGAAAATAGTTAGTCATTTAAAATAATATAAAATACCAAATTTCATATGCAAAATTATCAAACAGCTATAAGATATGAGGCATTGTGGTAAAAATTGCATAGCAGACACCATGTCTTAATAATATTGCCCCTAATTATTTGCCTTAGACCTGTTGAGGCACCTCCTAACACTCTGCCAACACCTGCCCTACCATGTGCCTTGCAGTTTTGTATTTCATTTTTACTTCTCAATTTTTCTTATCCCTATGTTACTACTTTTACTGTACTTTCTTCTTATCCATACTTACCATTTATATATTCACTTACAATTATCCTCTCTGATGATGATCCCTTTTTATCATATCTTAAGGAAAAGTCTGTATTTATTTAGGCCCCAAAGCTACCCTCATAACTGGAATGTTATCTTGTATGGTCTTGAAAGCAATTCTGTGGATATGGCAGATCCATTGTGCTTCTTCTTCTTCATATTTGGAAATAGAAGCTCAAAATTAAGTAATTTAGCTAATGTTAAAAATATTTTAATAACACAGGATAAGGAATCAGATCTTTCCATTTTCAGCCATACTTATGATTGATTTCTGAGTCTCCAGAATCTTGCTTAATGTTTGGCATATGAATGTACAGTAAAGTATATGTTTTGTTAATAATATATAAAAAACAAGTAAAAATGGAATAAACCTCAGAACTTTTGCTCAGCTGTTTATCCATGTTTTATTTCTCTTTTATTTTGTAAATGTCACTGTTCAACATAAAATGTAACTTACTATTCTTTGTGTCAAGGAAAATATAGCAAAGTGGTTTAGATCAGTTGTCTTCAAAGTGAGGTGCTTGCTTACCAGGAGATCTTTAAGACATACTATTATAGTGCAGGACAAATATATTAGAAGTTTAGACATACTTTTAAAAAATGTTTTATTATATTTTTGGTTTATTGTTTTTTAAAAATATCTTAAATTTTTATTTTTATTTCAATAGCTTTAGGGGTAAAAGTGGTTTTTAACCATAATTTTTATCAGTAAAATAACATAAATTGTTTAAAAAGTCAAATGACACCAAAAGAGCTTTAATGAAAATGTCAAGAATCCTCACCTCCTCTCCATGATCTTGTTCTGCTGGATCCAAAGCAAACATTCTTGATTCTTCTAGGTGTTTATCTTGGCATTCAACTCCAGATTGCGATTTGTACTTGCTTTATAACTCATCCTTGCAATTTTATACTTTGCAATTTAAATTTTACTTAAAATGGTGGTATGGTAAGGCAAATGTATCTCATTTATAAATATACTCATATTGAAGGCCCCTACAACAAAATCCACTTTGACAGGAGTTTCAGAATTAAAAACAAAAAATCAAGTCCTACTGTGATCTAGATTAGTAACATGAGCGTCTTCTAATCACAGCTATTAGCCAGATGTTTATCCAAGTTCCTTCCAGGAGCAGGAAGAATGTTTACTTTTTTGAAATGAGCTACATGTAATAACCTCATTTCTTGACAAGGATACCCTACAGGATCTTAGAAGACTGAGTAAGTCTCTTGGTGCTTAGAGTCTTTCACAACTTATTTGGTGAACATCTTTAATAGGACAGAAACAACATAAACGTAAAGTCGACACGAGAGTTTTAAATCAAATGTCTAGCAAATATACTTGTCTCTAAGCCAAATGAGCATTGATACTAATTCTCATCCAAAGGCTTTCTTTTTTCCTTAATCTACTCTTCATAAACTCTAGGCAGTGTGAGTTAGTGTTATGAATGAGACTTGCAGAAACCATGAAGCCACAGGGGAGAAGGCAATTATTAATAGCGTAAATGCTTATAAATTTATTTCTTTTACATGGAATGCCTGCAGGCTTGTTTCTTTCTCCAGCCTGTTGAACTAGAATCAATTTATCATGTAAGGTTTCTAGTATACAATTTTATTTTGAAATGTTTTCACCAAAGAGAATGTCTTCTTTTCTAAAGGCATTTTATCTCTCTCTTATCTAATTGTTAAAGAATACTAATGTTCAATAATATCGTGTTTCCAAAAATCCGGTGATAGTTGTTCTTACAAAAATTCACTTTTAAAAATGTTAATCTTAAATTTATTTATAGATCCAAAGCAATCCTAATCAAAATAGCAGCAGATTATTTTGTGGATATTAATAAGGTGCTTTGAAGTTTATATGGAAAGTAAAGAACCCAGAAAAGTCAACTCAGTATATAAAGATGCCAAATAAACATAATGAATAATGTTTAACATTGTATGTTATCTTAGTCATTTGGGGCTTCTACAATATAATATCATAGACTAATTGGGTTAAATAACAAGCACTTAAAGTTCAAGATCAAGGTGGTCACAGATACAGTGCATGGTGAGGGCATTTTTATTCTTTTGCAGATGAAGGTGTTCTCATTGTATCCTTACATATTTGAGAAAAATCATTATTCTTATATCTCCTCTTATAATAACTCTAATTCTATTCATTAAAACTCCACCTTCATGATCTAATTACCTCTCCAAAGCCTTACGTTCTGATACTATCTTATTGGGGGTTAAGATTTCAACATATAAACCTTGAGGGGAACACAAACATTCAGTCCATAACTTAGATAATTAGGGAATTTCAAATTAAAACAATAATAAGATACCACTACACATCTATTAGAATGGCTAAAACCCCAGATACCAACAACAAATGCTGAAAAGGATGTGGAGCAACAGGAATTCCCATTCATTGCTGATCCAAATGCAAAATGAGACATATGAGACAGCCTTTTGGGAGACAGTTTGACAGTTTCTTACAAAATTAAACATACTCTTACCATATGACCCAGCAATTGCATTCTTCAGTTTTTACTCTAATAAGTTGAAAACAGGTCCACACAAAAAGATGTCCACAGATGTTTATTGCAGCTTTATTTATAATTGCTAAAACTTAGAAGTAACCAAGATGTCTTTCAGTAGGTAAATGAGTAAGTAATCTGTGGTACATCCAAACAATTGTATTATTTGGTTGAGTAGAAATGAGCTATCAAGCCAAGAAATGACATGGAGGAAACTTAAATTCATATCACTAAAGGAAAAATCCACCTGAAAAGGCTACATGTCATGCCAACTATATGACATTCTGCAAGAGGGAAATCTATAGAGACAATTAAAAGATCAGTAGTTACCATGGGTTAGGGAGGAGACAGTATTTTTAGGGAAGTGAAACATAATATTACAATGATGGATACATGCCATTATACATTTGTCCAAACCCATATTTTGTACAACATCAAGACTGAGAGCTAATATAATCTATGGGTATTGGTTGATAATGTTTTGTCAATATAGTTTCATTGATTTTAACAAACACACACTGTCGTGCAGGGCAGTGGGGAAGGCTGTACCTGTTTCAGAAGGGGAGACACAGAAGGAACTCTGCCTTCTGCTCAGTTATACTATGAATCTAAAAGTGCTCTCAAAAATAGTTTATCAATTAGAAAAACCTAAACTACAACAAACCCAATTATTTTGAAATAGTTTGGGTAGGGAAGTAAAATATGGTGAAGGGATATTGTTCAGAGTCAAAAATGGGCATCATGCGTGGCCTCCGCCAGTAACGTTCTCTGATAAAGAATTAAAGAGACAGCTTCTCTTATATTTCTTTCTTTATCCATGTTATACATCAAAATTTGACCCCATGTTTGAGGATAATTATAAAGGTCAAGGTAAATGCTATGTGTAATAAGAATTATCCATGGGGAAGATAATGGCTTTTAGTAAACAAAGTGCAGAAACATTTTGAAACAATTGGCCCCATGGATGCCTCTCAGTAGAAGCTGGATTTTGCACAGGTATCTAACATTATTTCCATTAGGTCAGTTAATGAACGTCTCAGTTATTGCAGTTTTCACAGACACAAAATGATGATATGTGGCTAGATGATATTAAGGTACCTTCTAGCTCTATGATCGATCTTGTGACTTTCCAGAGCTTCAGCGCTTCATTAAAGTCAACTATTTTGTTTTTGTTAAAATTCAGGAATGTAGCCAGAGTAACCTTTTGTCTCACATAGAAGAGTCACCGGCCTCTTCTAGTGTTTTGCCCATCATCTGGTCTTAAATACAGCATCACTGTCAAGGTGTGGGATCAGCATGTGGCAATAAAACTTTTGACAGAGTGGAAACCTTAGATGTCTAGCAGAAGCCTTGGGCAAATAACCTGAAATTTGTCCACTAGCTGCTTAAAAATATTTATTATAACCCAAAAGTTTGTAACTGTAAACCAAGAGTAAAACATTCACCAAGAAAATAAAACAGATTTTATTTTGTTTTTCTTTCACAGATGTAATTTGTTCTTTATATATTTATCAAAAGTGATGCTCCCTGAGAGTGAATGGAGCAGAATACTGAAAGAAAAGAAATGGATTTTCTATTGCCACCTCTGACTGACTCCCAAACCTATTTACTGCCTTTGGGTATCACGTTTGTCACATGCTCATACATTCCAGAGAAATCTTATTAGGGTCTCCCATAGAGCAGATAGAAATATGAATCATGACACACAGACACAGTGGGGAGCCTGCTGGGTATTGGGGTGTGGGGAGGAAGACCATTAGGAAAAAATAGCTAATGCATGCTGGGCTTAATACTTAGGTGATGAGTTGATAGGTGCAGTAAACCACCATAACACACATTTACCTATTAACAAAACTGCGCATCCTACACATGTACCCTGAAAAAAAATAAAAATTTTAAAAATATATATGAATCAGATGTAGTTTATTCCTCCAAGAGCTACAGTAGCTTGAAGATGATGAACAGACAAGAGCACATGATGAAAGGTGTAGTGTGTGCATTTACAAGGCAGGTAAGAAGTGTTAGGGCAGAGAGGTGGAGCATCCAGTTCTCTCTGAGTGACTAAGTCTAGATTCAAAGAGGAGTGGATATTGACACTGGGCTCTAAAGAATGAAAACAAGTTGCCTAGTCAGAAAAGTAAGTGGGTTTCTAGATGACATGAGGGAATTGGGACATTAGAACACCTGCTATGTGCCAGGTACTTCTCACAAATTATTTCTAACTTTATTAAGATTATGATTACTATTTCCATTTTATTCACCAAAGTTCTGAGTTTCAGCCAAAGTCATTCAGCAAAGTTAGCTGAGATTATATTTGAACCAAGGTACATCTGACTGGCTCTAAGCCTACATATTTTAAAACACCACACTGCCTCTGTCTGTAAAAGTGTCACGTTTCCTTCCTGCTGAAGACTCTAACCTTATACTTTTCCAATATGCAAAAATATCACAAATGTGACAATGGACAGGCATGGATCACTCCAGATTATTCTTGAATGGAATGATTTTTATATCTCACAACCCTTGGTTTATGCTGCCTCTGTGGGATTTAAAGCACCATACTGGGAGCCTGGAGGTTTAGGCCATTGATGGCATCTTAAATGTAATAGGTTATGTGAGGAGCCTGTTCACTGAACGTTTTTATGGTTATATGTGTATGTATTATGTATCTAGTTAATTTAGTATGCATCTAGGATTCAGTGGGAGGAGCATTAAAACTGTTCTATCTTCCATGAACTTATCAATAAAACTGAGCCATTTTATGTTACTCAGGTAGCTAATGAATAAATGTTTGAGATGTATATGACTAGCTTCAGCTCCTGTCCACTCAAGCTAATCGCTTCCTATTTGGGCAGTAATTATAGTATTTTGCAAACAGTGTGCCTTCTGGATTTAGAAATACCTGGGTTTTAATCCCAGTTCTGTCATTTACACAATGTGTTATCTAAAACAACTAAATCAGCCTCCAAAAGCCTGATCTGTAAGTTGGGAACAATAATTATTTCATTGGGCTTTAGTGAGAATTAAGTGAAAACATATCTAAAGTGTACGGCACATATTAGGGCTTAAAATTTGAATTTGCTTCACTGCTAAAAAGCTACTACTGCCTATTATTATTATGTGAATATCTAAAATTAATTAAAATCTGGTCACTTTATGTTAACAAAAGTCCAATTATTAACTAAATATTTACTAAATGGTCACTGCTGTGTTAAAATTCAAATCATTATGTCATAAAAGTAGCATTTTCACTCACTCAAAGGAACTTGAAGTCTACAGAAATAAAGATCCTCATGTTAAACACCATACAAAACAATTAAATAACAAGGGGGAAAATAAAAGCTCACAATGCTCTCTTGAATATGATCTAATTTCATGCGGGTTGAGATGTCTACCTCTTTTGTTCATTGATGTCTTCCAAGAACAAGGAATAATATCTAGCACATGATAGGTATTCAGGAAGTGTGTGTGAATAAATAAATTAATCAAGTGTCATGCACCTGCTGGATTGCAGGGTAAACTATAATGAGTCAGACAAAAAAATAAAAAGGAGCCCTAAGGATAACCCTTCTGAAAAAGCTTCATGGAGAGGGAGGAGTTGAACTGGGAAGGAATTAACAGGGAAAGAGAGAAAAGAAGGCATTCCAGGCCAAGCCCAGGCAACTCTAGGCTTGCTTTCTCAAATTGTCTCAGGAGTATTTTATGTAACAAAAGGGGTTCACATCCATATTTTTTAAGTTAAATGCAAGAGGAAAAAGAATGATTAAAAGGAAGGAGTAAAGTATATTATAAGAGTTAATGATAAGTATTTCCTTTTCTGACTCGTTTATTCCGATGATAACAAGGTACTGTGAAGCCACTGGAATTTGGTAAAATGACTATTGGACTTGGAATCAGTTACAGTCAAAATGTCAACCCTTAGTATCTGTGTGATCTTGGGCAAGTTTACTTTCTATGAATCACTTTTAGCTTCATCTGGAAAATGGGTCATTTCACATATTTTTAAAAATCTTTTAGGAAAATTGAATTAAAAAGTGCTTGCTAAGTGCCTAGAAAAGAACATGGTTCATAGTGCACAATCAATATATGATCGCTTTGTTTCTCCTTACAGAGACATTCTAATGATTTAATGAGATATCCTCTTCATACAACTTTTTCAGCATACTGGAAGCAGTCCATAACACCACAAATACATTTACTATTAACTTGATACTATTTGAAGTCACAATAAAACTTTTTAAAACACTTAGGAATAATATACTCTAAATCATGTTTTATTTACTTTTAAAACTCGAAAATCCTTTTATTCTTACAGTAATGTGTTCACTCGATATTTTAAGCATCTACAATGAGCTAAATAATTTCTATGATGCCCAGACTAGGATATAAAGATGAAGTAGTTAACAATATAATTCAGGAATGAAGCCCCAAATAAGCAACTATTAGCTACAATATAATGTTACCTGCTCTTATGTTTTCATTTATATGGAAATAAGAATAGAGAGTAACTCGGGAATTCATAGGGTTTTAACATTGAAGCTAAGTCATGAAGACTGGTTTCATGGGTGAGA
The DNA here is from genome assembly GCF_000001405.40 of Homo sapiens. Taxonomy (NCBI): domain Eukaryota; kingdom Metazoa; phylum Chordata; class Mammalia; order Primates; family Hominidae; genus Homo; species Homo sapiens. The sequence continues at coordinate 105,218,257 of NC_000011.10, forward strand.
GACCTCTGCAGTCACACAGCATGCTGCATTCAGAAGGACCCCATGCTTGCTTTAATGTTCTGTTGGCAGCATCTCAAAATTCTTAACAATTTTATCTTTTAACTTGTGTTTTGTAAGTGAAATCTGATGGGACAATGAAGAATGCATATGACTAAAGTGTGTTCATAGAGCATTGGCCCCATGAACACAGAATTCAATGGACCCACACTTTGTGGGAGTTCAACAACAATCAAAAGGAGTAAAAGTTAAACATATTCCATCAAAGGGGGCTCTGAAGCCCCCAGAGGCCACAATTTACTAGGAACCAGAACTTGCTTCAAACTTAAGGCAATGGCAGGATTCAACCAAGGATCCATATCAAACACTTTCTTCATCATATTACTTATTTATATCAGAAAATTATTAATGCTGAAAATAAAAGTAAGGTAAAAAAGGAAAAGATAGAGCAACTGATAGTTTATTTTCCTTTTTGCCTGTCTTTCTTGACTTATCAGTAAGCTGAAGTTAGAGAGTGTTGGTAGAATACGTGCCTATGAAGAAATGAAATAAAAACATATGAGCAGTTTTCTGCTGTAGTATTTTCACTGTTCTTTCAAGAGAGAAATGTATGAGCTACCAAATACAAATTGTGTCATTTCAATGGTTAAGAATTAGATGTTTTTAAATCTGGTATTTTAAAACCAGCTTATTTGGTTTTTAAAATGGTATTGAATAATATAGGTGAGCGTTAAAATTTATGCTAATAATTTAAAATTTTTTATTACTTAGAAAAACATTAAGTGGCAAATTAAACAAAGACATATCAAGGCAAGAGAGAGACTATAGAAGACAGCAAAAAACTTTATATTTTAATGCCTTATATCTACACTTTTTTCCCATAATCTTTGAATAAAAGGCCTCACATTTTTATCTTTCATTGAGCTCATAATTTATGTAAACAACCCTGATAAGGGAATATATTGACTACAATGTTCATAGTATAAGATTATGCATTAGTCTGTTCTTGCATTGCTATAAAGAAACACCTGAGACGGGGTAATTTATAAAGAAAAGAGATTTAATTGACTCATGGTTCCACAGCCTGTACAGAGTGTATGATGCTGGCGTCTGCTCGACTTCTGGGGAGGCCTCAGGAAACTTACAATCACGGCAGAAGGCAAAGGGGGAGCCAGCACGTCACATGGCCAGAGCAGGGGCAAGAAAGAGGGAGGGGGTGGTGCTACACACTTTTAAACCACCAGATTGCGCTAGAACGCACTCACTATTGCGAGGAAAATACCAAGAGGATGGCACTAAACCATTTGTGATAAACCGTCCCTATGATCCTATCGCCTCCCACCAGGCCCCACTTCCAACATTGGGGATTGCAATTCAGCATGAGATTTAGATGGGGACACAGGTCCAAACCATGTCAGGTTATAAAGAGAAGTGGGGGGCCAGGCATGGTGGCTCTCGCCTGTAATCTTAGCACTTGAGGTCAAGAGTTTGAGTCAGCCTGGCCAGCATGGTGAAACTCCGTCTCCACTATAAATACAGACATTAGCTGGACGTGGTGGTGAGTGCCTATAATTCCAGCTACTGAGGAGGCTGAGGTAGGAGAATTCTTTGAACCCATGAGGCAGAGGTTGCGGCGAGCCGTGGGCCAATCCACTCCAGCCTGGGCGACAGGGTGAGACTCTGTCTCACAAAAAAACAAAAAACAAAAATAAAAAACACAACAACAAAAAGAGAGAGAGAGAGAGAAGTGGGACATGGCATATTTAAAAGGCATGCTTTCAGGAAGAAGCCAACTGGGTGAACAAGGGATGGCTGAAATTAGCCTAAAATTTACCTCACAGACACCATTTTTGCTAGAATTTTTCAGCTAAGAATTACACTTCAATGTCAGATGTCAGCAAAAACGTATGATTCTCTACCTCAGAAAGATCTCTCAAGACTATGTTGTTGCTTTTGGGGGAAAGGACAAAGAATGTGGCCATATCATGGAATTCCCTATGCCATCTCTGTGGTATAAATGTTAAAAAAAAAAAAAAAAAAAAAGAATTTCCTGGCTCACAGGCTGATTCATGAAGATTGAGAAAGTGAGGAAGTGCATGACAAAAGAGAGAAGTGAGAAATGAGGGGCACAAGGACAGTGTGACTGCATGTATTGTCGCTATGCTTCTAACTCCTTTTCCTGAATCGAACTAGCGAAGCTGAATGTCTCTAGCAGAGAAGTTGTCTTTAGTTATCTACACAATGGTGCATACTGAAACGGACAATCCTGTGTTTAGAAATTAGTCAACAGCCATGCAAATTAATGATTATTTACCCTGGAGGAGTATGAATCAAATCATTTTTAATTAAATAAAACTAACGATGGCAAGGCAAAAAATCATTATTATTTTATGATAAATTATGCTGGGGTGTAATATATTGAGACTTTATCAATTTAGAAGTGCCATTGTTTTCAGATCCTTCTAAGAAAAGGTAATCTATTTGGTAAAAATGTTGATGATTAAATTAAAAATATCCTTTGAGTTTAGCAGAAGACTTTCACCCAGCTGTGTGGTGGCAAGGAATTTGTAAAGTATTTTTTTATACAATGGATCTCACCATAGCACCCTTTCATAGATGTTAATACTTTACACTAATATATTTTTAGTGATTGATTGGGTAATTTTGCTTGAAAAATGTACCTAATGGAAAAAAGCCTAGTAATTTTTCAGAAATTAGATGCTAAACACTGTAGTAGGTTGTCAAACATATATTATCTTATTTAGTGCTCATAAAAACAAATTAAATTTGAAGGCACTACTATTATATTCATTTATGGAAGAGAGAATGAAGGTAAGAAAGATTGCTCAAACTGGTCTTTTGTATGGCAGAGAGGATTTAGCAGTACATTGTCAACTCCCCCACTGGAGTCCCTGGCTTCCTGATCTGCTCACAGTTATTATAATTTCCATTTCAGTTTGAAATACCTGTGAATATATTGTTTATTAGTATGAATACTGCTTATTGGGTATGATAATTATAAAGTATAGGCTCATTTCAGAATTATTTCATAGTTCACTTCCATGAATAACCAAGATTTTGAAATAATAAAAAAAAAAAAAACCACTAACAACTAAAGCACATGTTGATGGGAGGATAGGGAGGGTTATGAGAGAGTTCCAGAAAAGAAATTCACCTAAAGTAAAAAATTTACTACAACAGCAGCAAAATATTTTAAGAGAGGGAGCCCTGAGGTCAAGGGCTATTGGAAATCCCTGCAAAAATTAGACAATGTAAGACAGTCCCCATTCCAGGTGAGAAGTTGCAGTTTACTAGTTATCAGCTCAAGTGTCTGAGATGCTCCCTGATATCAGGTCTTCCACAAACAGAAGAGCCTTGCTCATGGTGGACCACTGTGAAAATTGGAGAATAGAGGACCCAGTGTATCCAACTCATGTGCTCAAGCCATGTGGACTTGCCACAGCATCACCTTGGGAATACTTGCAATTTAGGAATCAAAAGAAACAATCTTAACCTCTTTTCTTATCTTTTAATTTTATTGTAGATTTTTTTTTTTGTAAAAGGGAGTTTTTTAAAATATATTTAAGCCATGTTTCTAAGCTTCTGGACTTTGTTTCCTGTTTTAAAAAATTATTTTGCCCCTTTAAAAACTATCAAAAATGTAAATTACTCTTGTTTTTGTCTAGTAGTTTTTGGCCTCTTGTTTTGCCAGTATTTTTTCATCTGGAGTCTATTTTTATCTTTGAACAAAAATAGAGATTCAGTATTATTTTTCCTCTGAAATGGCTAATTGTCACGAAATGATTTATTGAATAATCTGTCTTTTCCCCATAGAGGTTAAGTGCCAGTTTTATCATATGCTCAATCTCTATATGATTCTATTTCTGTATTATCTATTCTGTTTCATTGGGTATTAACCTATTACTGGTTGATAGCCTGCTGCTTTTATTATTGTAGCTTTATTATTTATTTAAATATCTGGGAGAGCTAGTCTCTTATATTTAGCCAAAAATATTCTGAAAAAGAAGACTTTTTACAAGATTGTGTTTTGCATTTGAACTCCACAACGACTTTCTCTGATTCTTAAAAATCCTGACATATTTTATTAAATGGTGCTGTCCATTATATTAAAGCTTAAGAACCTGTTCAGCTTGTTTCTGTTTATTTGTATCCTTCCTGTGGATAAATCATATCATATCTTTGTTATAAAGTTGTATTATGCTCTTTTAAAATATACATTAACCTCCCCCATTCTCAGTGTAATAAACACCATTTATTTTACTTAGTATTAAATATATGTGGCTGGCTGAGGAGATCAGTTATCTATCTTTCCCATTCCTGGGCAGTAAATAAGGAAGAAAAATGGGTTTTTGTTTGATACGTAGCAAGTTATTGGTTTGTAACATGCGAATGACGGCTGGTATAAAGATAAGCTTTTAAGTAAATGCATGTGTAACATATATGCATGTTTAAGGGGATTTGAAATCTATGGTAGCCACTCAAAGAGTCTGAGCCCATCTACCCTCGATACTTGGCTTAGTCAGGAGTAAAGAAATCATTGTGATTTTGACTTTATCAAGACTCAAAATTTAGCCTGGCATGATGGCACACAACCATAATACTAGGACTTGGGAGGTTGAGGTGGGAGGATCGCTTGAGCCCAGGAATTCAAGGTCACAGTGAGCTATGATCACACCACTGCCCTCCAGCCTGGACAAGAGAGTAAGAACCCATCTCTTAAGAAAAATAATATACTAACGAAATAAAAATGTATAAGACTCATAAAACCTAGGGGTAATATAAGAGTGAAAAATTAAAAATGAGTAACTCAGAGAGATTATTGTGCCTAAGTACTTGTACTGAAAAAGAGATAACGTACTATTTAAATATATGTATATATATATATACATATACATACATACACACATTACTATATTACAAATGTAACAATATTTTTTGTCATGTAAAACAATGCTGTGGACTCCATTTGGGGCACCTGTTCAGGTTACAACCTTTCCTCTTTTAATTCTCACCATACCCACAGGGAAAATGCAGTTGATAGAACCGTGGTGGAAATCTGACCTAAACTGGGCCAGTAAGAATACCTTCCTAGGACTTCTAAACTTAAGAGTAGAAAGAAAGAAATTTTCTCTGAGTTATTTTATACGTAAAACATGAGCTCATAAGCTCAGGAGCCTCTTTCTACCTGCCACATGAAACACAGAAACAGGTCATGATGGTAGTCTCATAAAGATAAATTGAGTGGAACAGAAGGAGCCAGGAAGCAATGAGGAGAATCCAGGTGGCTTCATAAGTCTCTGAAGTGTAGCTGCCTGATCTTGAGCTCTATGAGACATATCTGAGTTTTTTTTCACTAAGCCCTTCTCTCTCCTTTTATTTGGCTTAAATTAGCTATGATTTGGGATTCAGAGAGTCTTTGAGACACCTAGGAAGTAGTTCAATTAATAGTCCTTCAGATTTGGATGCAAATCTCAAGCCTGTGATTTGGACAAATTGCCTAACTTCTGTAATATTTTTTGTGGGTCTTCAACAGTAAAACTAGGATTAAACCCTACCTCAAAACTGATAAAAAGGACTACAGTGTGTCTTGTGTGTTGAGGTAGGCTCCTACAAACCTTCAGGAGCCAGCTACTAACTTATCAAACATTTCACCAGCTTGTTGTTAATCCTGTTAATAGCTTGAAATTGGCTGTGGTGGGAGTGTTTACAACCACATAAATTGGCTAAAATACATTTTTTTTTTTGTTTTTAAAGGCTGTTCACCAGCACAGAACTAATTATAATAATAGATGTAAAGGGCTTACCCACTACCTGATCCATCATAAACACTCAATAAAGTGATATTATTATTAAAAAATTATTGTGTAGATTCTGAATCAATGAACCTATGCAATCTAATTGTATTATGAGAATATACAACAAGTGTCATTAGCAAATAGAGAAACTATGTTCATCATAGTTTATTCAAACTGCAAAGAAGGGTGTTAGTATGTCTTCCAAGCAGCAGACAACAAGAAGGAATTAAAAATGCATGGACCATATTAGGAAAATTGTCTGGATGACAAAATTGTCAGGAATTCAGGAAGACTGGGTGAGCTATCAGACCAGGGTGCAAAAAGAACTGCATCTCCATGACTGAAGGAGAAAGAGAGAAAGCCTGGGCAGGTGTTTTCAAAATCTTCCCAGCCTGCCAGATCTTCCAAGAAAGGTTTGACAAAGCCAATGGTTGGCACTCAAAGGGCCCCTGCTTTCCCCAGAGTGAGTCTGCCTTAGTATTCTTGCAGCAGTAGGTACTGGCCAGAAGCAGCCTAGGCACGGTCTTCAATTCAAGGCAGGACAAATTGAATTTTGGAATGCAGCAGTTGTGGGCTATTGCTGCTGGCTGATACCTCCTGCTCTGGGACATCAGCCAGGCACATTCTCACAGCTGCTGCAAGGAGTAGCAATTTTCAGGTATGTTAGCTTTGCAGATCCTGCAGTTGTTCTCCACTTTAGCGTGCTTAAAAAATGACAGATTATTGGGTCCCTGTCCATTAATTGGTACTTGAAACATGGACCTCAGGTATTTCTGATACCATAAAATAGTGAAAACAAAATAAAAAACATCAAACCCCACATTTTCAATTTTTCTTAAATATACAAGGTTATTGTAATCACCTTCTCTCCTTAGGGGATCATAACATGTATGCCTGTTAAATAATAAGACTGATGGCTAAGAGCCATACAGAAAGACACAAACAAAAACAAAAACCTGGCTCATTATTTGACGTCACTGCATTCTTGGGGCTGAGTGTTCTCCATCTGTGTCTAAACACGTTTATCCCAACTTTATTTTTACAGCCTATATCAAGATAGTATTCCCACTGGCTTAGCTCCTGTCATGCCCCCCTCCCCCCAACAGCTTCTTTCTTTTCAGTGATCTTGTTTTGTTACTTCTTTCATTATTTTGATGTTGACACCATTTATTTTGCCCACATCTCTCTTGCCCAAAGAATTGTTCCTTTGTTTTTTTATTTTAAATTCCATCAACCTATTCAAATTTATAAAAACAAACAAACATCTTGCAATTATCTCCTTAGTGGTCTTTGATTTCAAGATTTTTATTTTCTCTAGTTCATCACACAGAAGGGTGTCCTTAATGTGTAAACTGGATCACCTAAGTTTCTTACTCAATAACTTTCCCTATTTAAAAAAATCAACTCTATGCTGCCATTCTAGACTTCTTATATTCTACTTGATATACATCATCCCACATTTCCTAAAGCATAGCCTATAAGAAATTGTTTATATAATAAGGGTCATTAATGGCTTGTGGTCAAGGAAATTTGTAAAATGATGAGTTGAAGGAAAGTTAACATCTGAATATATTTAAGGCTCCAGATATTTTAATATGCTAATGAGCAAGCAAATATCTAGGAGGGGTATGCTATACCACGTTTCTAGACTAGTGGTCTAAAGAAAATGCTTTTTAAAAAGGCAATATGACTTTATCTTCTGCCATTTCCCACAAGAACCAGATCCTTCAAATGCACCTCCTTGGCACACTCTGACACACTATCATGTCTGAATTTTTGCTAGGCTGTTCCATCATTCTGATTTGTTTTTTCTTTAATATAATATTGATTAGGAACCAGGAGATGAAGTCTGTGAAATGTCATAGGCTCAGTCAGGCTCTCTCCCCTCTTTATATTGCTGGGTTCGGTAACTTTGAGAAGCATTTTGCAAATTGTCAGCCAACAATAACATGAACTTGATTCTTTATTGACCATTTTATTGATAGTCTATGAGCGTTGCCTCTTGATTCTATTACATTTGGCACTTTTTGAATTGGTTCATTGGTTAAATCTTGTCTCCCTTACAAGACTATGCATATTTCAAAAACAGCTTTGTAATTTATTAATGTTCTTTACAGTACTCAGCAGAATGTAATGTGTTATGTATAATGTGGGGTTTGTTGAATTGAAAAGTAGCCAGGAGGGAGAGTCTGGGAAGATTCAGGAGGCAGGAATGGAGCAAAAAAGCTCAGTAGTTAAGAATGAGGGAAATGGATGCAAAGTCTAACTAAGCAGAAAAAGAGAACCTAAACAGAATGACATGTCCAAAGTTTGCAATGGATCACATCAATGTCTTTTTAATGTTGTTACTTGTCCAACTTTACTTTGCATTGCATTGCATTGTGAAATCTTTCACTGTTACAGATATTGTAATTGGCTACTAATTGTAGCCCTTGGAAAATAGGCTTCTGTCTATAATAGCCCAAAATACTTCAAGCCAGCAGAGCCTCCTAAAGTTCCAAAGCCTATCACACTTGAATTTCTCTCAGACTGAGAGACTCTGACTGTACATCCACACAAATACACAGTTTGTGTTTTTAATATATCATAAAAAAGGTACAATCTCTCTCCATTTATAGGAGTAGTGAACTATTGGGCCTGGGGATGTGTAGAGAGTAAAGGGAGACTACTAAGATGAAACAAAGGAGTTTTAAACTGAGAATCTGTATGTGAAAGAAAAAGGCTAACACATACTTGACCAAATGTATTTTGTTTTTGAAGATGGAAACTAGAAATTATTGCAGCTTCAATGTGTTATCCCCATAATAGCTCAGCTGATAGCACCAGCGTCTATGTGATAAGAGCTTCAAAGAAAGGTGAAGCAAATGTCACTTAGAATGACTCGTAAGTGAGGAGTTCTGCAAAACTGACAGTTCTAAAAGCAGTGAAGGGTCAATTTTGTGTACTTTAGCTCACTTGATTCAAGAGGCTAACTCTCCAGTACAGAGGCTGATAGATAACCTTCAAAAGTTTCCTTTGAGAAAAAAACAAACACTGTTTAATTTGTGGACCAGAGTAGACTCTATCTGGAATAAACTCACATGAACTAAGTAAAATGCTGAAGATAGGATGATATTAGGAATATAGTATTTGACAGAAAACTCGGAATTACCCAGTTTCTGTCTTCTTCTAATCACTCATTCCAAAGATACATTTAAATCCATCCATGGGGCACAATCTGTGGTGGAAGAGAGAGAGAATGAATGTGAGTAAGGGCCTGGAGGCCAGCTACAGCTCCTGGGGGCTGTGGGCCATCCTGTCAACCTATTAGCTCTGTTCACAAAGAAAGTGTTTAATGAGCTGGGCTAAACCATTGGCAGAACTCCTTTTGCCTAAGTTGTACATGGTTTGAGCCATCAAAAGTGGGTTGAAAGGCCATTCATTCCTGAGGCCTCACCTTAATTTTGACCTCCACCACTCTCAGCATGTGTTTTTCAGTACAGCTCTATGTATGTTCCTCCTGGTAAGGGAGAGTCTACATTCAGGAAGTATGACCACATCAGTACCACTGACCTCAATCAATAGATGGGAGAACTCCAGACAGTGCTGTAAAGCCCTTTGCTCCAGAGCCTTCCTTGTGCATGAAACAAGGAGGGGAGCAGGGAAAAAGGGCATCACTGATCTCCTTTCCTATGGAGGGCAGCAGTAGATAAACATGAAGTGTGATTTTATTGAAACAGTTCTTAAAATAATCAAGTTATTTTCTTATACAATTACTGTAAACAATTGAAGCAAATTATAACCACCAATTTAAGCTATTTATTTAAAGACTTACCATATTTTTCTATCCATATAAAATAGCCCTGTATATGAATCTCTAAGGTAGCCAATGGTTTTTTTATTATATACAAATTATTTCTTCTATAAAGGGAGAGAGAGAGAGAAGTAAAAGAAGTGGAAAAATACCTGGGAGAATTAAGTTTAATTAGTATCTTAAACGTTATGCTGTTTAGGATAAAATAGAATCTTTGAATAAGTGTCAAACTGTAAAATGGAGCCCCTTAGGTGTTTGGCTGGTTCTAATTCACACAAATGGGATGCCAAGGGCATCTGGATATCATCCAATATGAGCCCAAGGCCCTCAACAATACTATGACCTCAACAGTATTGTAACTCTCTTGAAGAAGAGGGTGAACTCGCACTGTTGCTCGCTTGTGCCTCCATTTCTCCTCAAAGAGAATTAAACCTGTTAAAGTATTTAAACTGGCCCAATATATGTCCTCTGGGCCCTTTATGGTGCCTAGCAACGTCTAGGGCTCAAGTTTATTCAGGACTCAAAGAACTTTCTATGGAGGCTCGCTTTAGTTCTTAAATGAAATTTTGTTACTTCAACCTAATCAGAAATTGCCTCTCCTATCTCTGGACCTTAGGCAGGACTTTCGGGTTGTTTCATAGATATAAAAATGATAGCAGCTAACATTTAAGGTTGACCTACTATATGCCAAACTCTTTAACTACAGCAAATCATTTAAACCTTACAACAATACCTTATAGTAATTACCATGATAATTGTTAGTACCAGTTGTATAAAATGGTTAAAGAACTTGCAAAAGTCATAAAGTTTACACAGCTAGGTGGGGGAAGAGGCAGGGTTTGAACCCACTGTGTGTGCTTAGCTCTTAAGCACAATAGCCTCACAGATGGGGCAAACCATGGCAAATCAGTGGATCAATCATTTCTTTTGGACACTGCTCAGAAGAGGACGCAGCTCAGAAGAAGGCTATGGACGTACAAGATAGTGAAACATTAACCTCTGCTTCGTATACATGTGAAGAAGCAATGCATGAACTAGTTTTACTAGAACAGAGTATTTTCTTGGAAGAGTGATGGGAAATAAATTTCAAGGAGTAGGTAGAGGTCATGGTCAAGACCTATTTATGTCATTTAAGTTATGTTTAAGCTGATCTTGTATACCAAGAGGAGCCATTAAATAAAGTATAGAGTGGTAAGTGCAATTTGGTGGAATGGGAGGATAAATGTTTGTTGTGTGGATTAGAGAGGAAAAAATTAAGTTGAGAAGGACAAGTTTGGAGGTTGTCAATGTAAGTCAGGGATAAGTGATAAAAGTCTGCTTTACTGCTGTTAAATGTTGCTAGAAAAGAAAAAGAGATGACAGTTGGATGAGCTTTAATGAAGGAAATATTATTTTTCACAAGTCAATGACCCACACAAGTTATGCCTGATTTCCATGCCAGTTAAAGTTCATGTGATTAATGGTGTCATTCCACAACTTCTGGAATACAGTTGTGAAAATGCAGAAGAGTTCCCAGTCTCCTCTCCCTTTGATCAAACTCCTACTTTGGAGTCTGCTCTATACCCTAGCTGTGATAATCTTTCCAAGAATCCTTTTCATAGATCTGTGGTTGAATCATTCTAGAAGGGTTGAGCCAAGTATAATGAAAGAGGGCATGTTGCGTAAGTCACTAAAAAATCATCTTTATTCCTTTCTCCAGATGTCTAATTTTTTTTTTATTTACCAGGGAAAAAACAATATGAAGGATACCTTCGTTTATGCTAATAGTATATTAAATCACTATTTGAGTGGGCATCACGCTTTGAGTGGGCATCTTTCCCAAATGATCAGTCAGAGCTAGTTCATGTCTGTGTTCAGTAAACCTGTATAAATACTGATCTCATTTAACACCCATCCATTCCTTTCCAGCATGGGAGCTACTCTCTCTATGCTGCTATTTCCTTCCTACCAGCCCAGGTGTGGGATGTCTGTCAAAAGTCATCTTCTGCACCCTCTTTCAGCTGCTGTTGCTGCTATTTTTGTGTTACATAGCATCCAGAAAAGTCAACTCTTCAGTGTGAACCAACGCTGATTACTGTAGTCACTGACCTAAAAGTCATCTGGCCTCTGCCAGGATCACTAACATAAACATGTCCACTACTAGCTCTGCTTCTTCCTCTTTCTGGGACTTTCGTAAAGTTAAGCACTTTTATAGGGCTTCTAGCTCTTTTCCATCTTTTGGCTTGGTGGTTGTACATTGATCCTTATGTTGTTCACTTTAAATCTATTAAGCAGTCCCTGTTCCTCTCACAACAAACCACCTACTATGTAATACGAAACATAAAGCTATTCATGATGTGGCTACTGCTTAATTTGCCAGTATCATACAATTATATAATGAGTGCTTGTAATTCTGATAAACCCCCATGGTCTTGCTCACCTATGGAATTTAGCATGTGATGTTTCTCTCCACTAAGTATTTTTTTTTCCTTCTACTCTCCCTTTTACCTTAAATACTATGGTTCATGATGTCTTAATGTAGATATTGCTTCTGTTGGGAAAGTGTCCCTGACCACCAAGACTTTAAGTCCTATTCTCCTTCTGTACTTTGGTAGCAATCTGTATTTATAGGCAATATAGAGCTTTAAAATGTGGCATCAAGAGCTTCATAGTTCTTACATGTAAACACTGCCATTCACTATTCACTAGCTATGTAAATTTGGAAAGTTAGTCAAACTCTCTCACATGTATCTTCTATAAAACTGGAAAAATAATCTGTATATTACAATTTTACAGGATCAAGTGTTAAATGGAACACATATAAAAACTAAGCCCAGTTCCTGGAGCTGTGAGTTTTTGTGTGGTATTCTGTCACTATCTTTTTAATGAACATAGGCAACCCTAGTGTTATCTGGCAATAAATCTCAGCTCATTATAGCACAACCTCTCTGCTGAGTCATAGCTACTAGGTGCTAAAGCTTTTGATAGACATTTAACCAGGACATGCAAACTGAGCAGCCTCTGTGTTTAAACGTCTCTGACCATCCAGGTCCTCACCTCCAAAGTAGAAAAATCTGTCAACACAGCCCAGTTATATTTAGAGAACTAGGTGCCATAAGTTTGCAGGGTGGTATGAAAGCATTTGTTTATGCCCCTCTACTAACTGCTTAATTTCACATGCATGTAACTTTGTGTTTTTTAATAATAGGACCTCTCACCATTCTCTTCTGTAATACAGAGGGCACATCAGTCAATTATATAAAACATATAGATATGACTTCCAAAGCCTTTTTGCCTCCAGGAAGACAGAAATTCCTTGAGGAATCCTGGTAGCCTCTAATTTGTATGTGGTTGCCTACAGAATTTCACCTGACTTTTAGACTTTTGTCCAAAGAAAGAACAAATGAGAGACTAATTTCCAAAATTATAATCCCAATGGAAAGTGGGCTAAAATAATGCACCATCTTTCAACAGAGAGCTATTTCTTTTTTCTTATTCTAATGTCATTAGATGGAGAGGTTTTCTGCATTCTGCAGGTCAGATAAAATTATTTGCTATTGATAAAGTATTTGCTTTTTCTGAGAAAGTAGCAAATTATTCTCTTGAAGCTGATTGGAGGCTTTTTAAAAGCAAGTTGGAGTGGAGCATGGTGGCACATGTCTGTAACCCGAATGCTTTGGGAGGCCAAGGTGGGAGGATCACTGTGTTCTGAGACATGGCTTAGTTGCCTGGGCAGTGTATACCATTAGCACTAAACTTTAGGGACCAGTTACACTAGGCCACAATCCATGTATTCCTTGACAAAACAATAGTAAATTTCTGCCAACAATACCAACTTTTAAGGCAAACCCTTTTGATCCAATTTTCTAGTTCTTACAGAATCACTTAATAGTTTTGTGACACTGAACTATTTGACTTGTCTTTTCCTGTAATGTTTTATCTATACAATTTTATTTATAATAATAGCAGTTATCATGGATAAATGACATGATACATGCAAATCTTTGGTTTACATAAGACCTGTTAAATAGCCTGTACTAAATAAATTGTCATAGTTGCTGCTGTTGTTGCTATTCTTATGGGTTTTACTATTGTGTATGGTACTCTGGGTGAATTATTCATCATACCATAGACATAATGACAGAGGAACTAAGGCTTAAATAAGGCAGAGCTCTTAAATATTTTATTATACCATTTTTAGTAGGAATTTTAATATAGGGAAATATAGAATATAATAAACATCTGTGTACTCACTAAGTGGAATTAGCAAACGCTAATATACTGTCTTGTTTCTTTAAATGAGTTCCACAAAATAAATTAAATAATGTGGGATTTCTCTATGTGCCAGTACTTAGGCCTGTTTGACTCTTTATTGCTTAAGAAAGAACCACAATATGTACACAATGTTCAATATGTACTTCCCTGGGTATATTTTAATATTTTTACTGGATGTAAGTAGCAAGTCTGTGGCATTATATTTTTTTTACAAATGTTATTCTACAGTTATCATTTGAAACTTTCTTTTATACATTAAACATTAGAGTTTCAATATTTCTCCAAATAGAAGAAATAACTCTAGTAGACAACACAAAACATTTTAATGACTTGAGTATAAAGAAGTATTTTTAATCAACTTTTTAACACACTAGTTTTAGATAATCCTTCATTATCAGCTTATGTTCTAGATTCTATGATTAGAATCTCTTTAAAACAAGTAGTGATAAATACAGGAAAACCAGAGATCAAAGGTGATCAACAGAACAAAAGCCACAAGAGGACAGGATCTTAGAAGCAAATTACTAAAATGAAAATGCTTTCAGAGTTCATTAACAGGCAAGTTGAAAAACAAGGCAAAATGGACCTGATTTTACGTAAAAAATAATAGCAATATGTACTCTTTGCTAATGCACTTAAATGGCTTTTAGAAAAATATCCTGCTATTCACTTCAAGGAACAAATTCTTATGATATCAGCAACTATTGAATGTGAGGCATTATTATAAGGCCAATTTTTAAATAAAGTCTGTTTATATAAAAAAGTCACATTCATTGCATTTTAATTGGCAAATATAGCTAAATTTTAATCTAGATTCTTTGTTTTTTAAATACAATTAAGTACATACAGTAACTAAAACAAACATTCTAGCTAAGGTCAAGTTGAGCCCATTACTAGCTAATTCCTGTAATGTGTCTATGCTTGCAAGCCGAAATTAGCATTCCAAAAATTAAAGGAGATAATATTTGAGCCAGCATTTACAGGTCACACAAAATTTACCAGAAACAGGAAAAAGATACATTACAAAGAATTTTCCTCAATTATAGGCTGCTATAAAATTGTATTATTTGGGGAAATCACCTATTTCCTTTCTTCTCATCATGTCTTCCATATGCCATCACTGTAGAATCACTTTATTTAAAAGAACTATATTTTTAGTGAAATATCTTCAAGGCTTCACCACATAAAGTGCATTAGAAATAAATGAAGAAACTTCAGAGGTTATGTAATCTTGAAATACTAGAAATTTGGGGAATATATCACCAGAGTTTGCTTAGAGAAACGGAGCACAATGAGCTTTATGGAAATCAGTGGTTTGTCACACACACACACACACACACACACACACAACAAGCTCTTAGGACATATCTCCCTGAAAATGCACATATATATACATGCATATTAGTGAATGTGCATTTTCAGGGGCAGGTGTCCTAAGAGCTTTCTTAAAGTTATATGAGACATTTGAGGTGCAAAGAGAAGAGAAACCACTTTTTCTAAATTGACACTTTTCATAAATATAAAACATGTCATTTGTCTAATTTTGCATAACTGGTGACAGAAACAGTTTTTTATTTAATATTTAATTTTTATTGTGTGCATATAAAGAGAGAAGAACTATGGTTTTAAAAAAACAGAGTGCCATTTTTGCCTTCAAAAAGTAAGTAAAATAAGTAAACTAGTAGGAACACTTACAAGTATACAGTTGCAATAATAAAAATTTATAAATATATTAATATAAT
The DNA here is from genome assembly GCF_000001405.40 of Homo sapiens. Classification (NCBI taxonomy): domain Eukaryota; kingdom Metazoa; phylum Chordata; class Mammalia; order Primates; family Hominidae; genus Homo; species Homo sapiens. The sequence goes on from NC_000011.10 coordinate 105,233,859, forward strand.
CTGTGTGTATAATAAACGTATATAAAGAGAGGTAATATTTCATATTTTCCAATTGCCAGGAACTGTTCTAAGTAACTTTAAATGTATCATATTGCTTACAACTTAAGGAGATCCATGCTATGATTTCTCACATTTTGCTGCTGAGAATGCTGAGGCACAAAATATTTAAGATACTTGCCCAAAGTCACATAGTTAATAAGTAGCTGCATTTGAATTTGAACTCAATTCCCACAGTTTGTGTTTTTAATCAATCAATTATATTATAATACTTTTAATGATATGGGTACAAAATGTAATAAGAATATCAGAGAAAATGTTCTAAATCTACCCATGGGATTCTGTCTGCTTCACAGAAGAGGAATTTGAGCTGAGACTTGAGGAATGAGTAAAGATTTGTTCCATTTTTACAATGACATTTGAAACAATGAGAAAAATGTGTGCAAAGGATGTAGTAAGAAAGAAGTACATTGATATATATATACAAACACACACACACACGTCTATATGAGCAAAAATTTCAGAGAAGAAAGTTTAAGCCAGAAGATTAGAAGTTAAATAAGAATACTCCTTACTACCTATCCATCCATCATTTATTTAGACTATCTAAAGAAACTTTAAATTGTACAAATAGGTATTCCATATATCATTTTATTTGGCATTTATACTAATGTAGCAAAATTGGACACTGATAAAAATTTGGACTCTGGAGTCAAACACACATGGTTTGAATCCTGACTCTGTGATGTCATACACAAGAAACATTAGGCATATTTTGAAATAATATATATTAATTCTTCAGTTTTTCTCAGAGATTTTTAGTATGTGACATTGAACAAACATATGAATGTCTTTAGAACTCAGTTTTCTTATATGTAAAATGAGAATTATAAAACATCATTTCTTAAATAAAACGTGATGCTATTATCAAAATATATAGCATGGGAATGTCATTAATTTGTGTTTTTTAATATTCTAGGTAGACAGAATAGCAAGTATAAGACCTTGAACTGGGAATCTGGGGTATTTTAGGAACAGAAATAAGGTGCTAATATCAACAGACACTAGTGAAGAAGGGGAAGAATTCTATATAAGATAGAGACATAGGCAGTATCCTGAGCATACAGAGCATTGTAGACATAAATAGTGTTTGGGATTTTAGTATAGAGATTTTGTTCTAAACATTGAAAGATTCCACCAATAGCAGACCACCCATTCTTCACAAGTGGAAGTGGACTTTCTCAAAGTTGGATCACATGCTAGTTTATGCTACAAATCAAGTCTCAATCAATTTAAAATATTGAAATTATACAAAGTCTATTCTCCAACTATAATGAAATGAAATCACAAATCAATAACCAAAAGACAGTTGGGTGATTCCAAGATATGTGGAAATTAACAACACAATCCTTAAAAGACTTCGAGTCAAATAAGAAATAAAAAGGTACATTAGAAAATATTTTGACCTCAACAAATTAGGCATTGAAAGATCATACCTCAAAATAATAAGAATCATCTAGGACAAACCAATAACCAACATCATACTGAATGGGCAAAAGCCAAAACCATTTTCTTGAGAACTGGAACAACATGAGGATGTCCACACTTACCTATCCTATTTAACATAGTACTGGATGTCCTAGCCAAAACAATCAGGTGAGAGAAAGAAATAAAGACATCTCTAACTAGGAAAGGAAGATGTCAAATTTCCTCTCTTCATGATGATATTATTCTATACCTAAAAAACCCTAAAGACTGCCAAAAGACTCCTAGAATTGATAAACGACTTCAGTAAATTTGCAGGATAAAAATCAACATACAGAAATCACTAGCATTTCTATATATCAATAACATTCAAGTTGAAAGCCAAATAATATCACAATCCCATTTACAATAGCCACAAAAAATAATGAAGTACCTAGAAATACATCTAACCAAGGAGGTGAATGATCTCTGCAAGGAAAACTACAAAACACTAGGGAAATGAAGCAGAAATTACACAAATGAATGAAAAAACATCCCATGCTCATGGATTGGAATAATTAATGCAGTTAAAATGGCCATACTGTCCAAAGAAATCTACAGATTCAATGTTATTCCTATAAATACCAATATCATTTTGCAGAGACTAGAAAAAAAACTCTTCTGAAATTTATATGGAACCAAAGAGATCTTAAGTAGGCAAAACAATCCTAAGCAAAAACAACAAATCCAGAGTCAGCACATTACCTGTGTTCAAACTATGCTATAAAGCTACAATAACCAAAATACCACGATACTGGTTCAAAAAACAAAAACATGGACCAGTGGAATAGAATACAGAACACAGAAAGAAAGCCACACACCTACAGCCATTTTGTCTTCAACAAGGTCAACAAAATGATAAAAAAGGAAAAGATTCCCTGTGCAATAAATGGTGCTGGGATAACTGGCTAGCCATATGTAGAAGAATGAAACTGGATCACTATCATTTACTATATACAAAAATTAACTCAAGATGAACTGAAGATTTAAATGTAAGACCTTAAACTATAAAAGTCCTAGAAGAAAAGATAGGAAATACCATTTTGGACATTGGCTGTGGTAAATAATTTGTGACTAAGCCCCCAAAAGCAATTGCAACAAAAACAAAAATTGACAAGTAGAACCTAATTAACTAAAGAGCTTATACACAGCAAAAGAAACTATCCACACAGCAAACAGAAAACCCACAGAATGGGAGGAAATATTTGCAAACTATACACGCAACAAAGGTCTAATATCCAACATGTATAAGGAAGTTAAACAATTCAACAAAAAACAACCCCATTAAAAAGATATAGTGATATAAACAGACATTTTCTCAAAAGAAGATTTACAAGCAGCCAACGAGCATATGAAAAAAATGCTCAATACCAATAATCATGAGAAAAATGCAAAAGAAAACCACAGTGAGATATCAACTTACATCACTCCCATGGCTACTATTAAAAAGTCAAGGAAAAAATAAAAGAGATGCTGACAAGGCTGCAGAGAAAAGGGAATGCTTATACACAGTTAGTGGGAATGTAAATTAGTTCAGCCCCTGTGGAAAGCAGTTGAGAGATTTCTCAAACAACTTAAAACAGAGCTATCATTCAGACTAGCAATCCCTCTACTGGGTATATACACAAAGGAAAATAAATCATTCTACCGAAAAGACCTATGCACTTGTATGTTTATCACAGCACTCTTCACAATAACAAAGACATGGAATCAACCTAGGGGATCATAAACAGTATAGTGGATAAAGAATGTGGCACATCAACAAGGAACTCCATGCAGCCATAAAAAAAATAATGAAATTATGTCTTTTGCAGTGACATGAATGCAGCTGGAGGCCATCTCCCTAAGCAAATTAATGTAAAAACAGAAAATTGAACATTGCATGTTCTCATATATAAGTGAGAGTTAATCATTCGATACATATGGACATGAAGATGGGAACAATAAACACTGGGAACTACTGGAGAGGGTAGGTGGGAAAGGGGCAAGGATTGACGGGGAAAGGGGCAAACTACAGTAATGTAGGTTTTTTTTCCTGGTTTCAAATCCCAATTTTCAAACTTCATATCAGAACTTAAAAGAAAAAGAATCAATCTCATGATCAAATATAAGACAGATGTGTCTCCCTTAAAAGGCTAGCTCCAAGCTAAAAATGGCCCCAAAATATTGAGAACAATGTTCCTTCACAGAGTATTTTCCCTTCCACATTTCCAAGGCTCAGAGTATTTTACTTTCCACATTTCCAAGGCTCCTCCCGACTCCTTCTCTATCTGGCATCTGTTATGTTCCATCATCCATTGGGCAGAAACAACACTACTATCCGTATACAGGGCATTTGTCTCAAGTTATTCCATCATGTCCACAAAAGTAGGGCAGGAGATTACTGGGAAGAAAAGCAGTTGATTTTTTTCTGCTTTATTAATGTTTTTACCTTTTTTTTTTTTAATTTTTAAAGTATACTTTAAGTTCTGAGATACACGTGCAGAACGGGCAGGTTTGTTACATAGGTATACACGTGCCATAGTGGTTTGCTGCACCCATCAACCCGTCATCTACATTAGGTATTTCTCCTAATGCTATCCCTCCCCTAGCCCCCCAACCCCCAACAGGCCCTGGTATGTGATGTTCTCCTCCCTGTGTCCATGTGTTCTCATTGTTCAACTCCCACTTATGAGTGAGAACATGTGGTGTTTTAGTTTTTTCAACAAATGATTCTAGGACAACTAGATATCAACATGCAAAAGAGTGAATTTAGACTCATCTCACATAATACAAAAAATTAAATCAAAATAGATAAAAGACTTAACTATAAGAACTAAAACTGTAAAACTTTTTGAAGAAAAATACAGAAATAAATATTACTGACTTCGAATTTACCAACAAAAGAAAAAATAGATTAATTGGACGTTTTCAAAATCAAGAAACCCATTTTTCTTTTCAATAACACTGTTAAGAAGCTAAAAAAAAATCAGAGAATGGGAGAAAACATTTGCAAATCATACATTTGATATGTATCTATCATCCAGAATATAAAAAGAATCCTTATAATTCAACAGTAAAAGATGAATAATTAAAAATGGGCTTAGGATTAAGATATTATTTCAATGTAGATAAACAAATGGTCAATAGTACATAAAAAGATGCTCAACACTATTCATTATTAGAAAACTACAAATCAAAACCACAATGAAATACTGCTTCCTATAATTCAAAATGACTATAATAAAAATGGAAAATAACATGTGTTGGTGAAAATGTGGAGAAATTAAAATCCTTATACTTTGCTCATTGGAACGTAACATGGTACAGCCATTTGGAAAAACATTTTGACAATTTCACAAAAAGTTAAACATAGAGTGACCATATGATTGAACAATTCCACAGTTAGATATATAAAACATATATTTCCACAAAATATGTACACAAATGTCATTTTAACTTTATTCATGTTAGCCAAAAAGTGGAAACAAACCAAAAGTCCATCAACTGATGAATGGATAAACAAAATGGGTATATTTCTGCAATGAACTGATTTATCCATAAAAAGGAGTGACGTAGTGACACATGCTAAAACATGGATGTATCTTGAAAACTGTATGCTGACTGAAAGAAGGCAAACACAAAAAGGCACACGTTGTATGATTCCAATTATATGAAATGTCCATTATAGGCAAATTCATAAAGACAAAAAGTAGATTAGTAATTTCCAGAACTTGCGGGGAGGGGATAATGGGAAATGACTGCCAGTAGTTACGTGGTTTGTTTGTTTGTTTGTTTGTTTTAGATGATGAAAAAATCCTGGAATCTGATAGTGGTGAGGGTTGTATAACCGTGAATGTACTAATAATCTTTATGTATTTTAAGAGGATGAATGTTTTCACGCTTGAAGTATATCTCAACAAAAAACAACAATGAGAATGGTGAAAACAGACATCTTTACTCTGGGCTCCTCTATCTTTAAACAGACTTGTCAACTCCATGCATTTCTCCAGGCCCCGCAACTTTCTATGGAGCACCCACAGCGATTGCAGAATGGCCAGTGCCCTGCTACTGCTCTTGGTGGCCCTAATTAGATCAACCCACCTAGACTCCAGGTTTCTCCCAGGAACTTATAGGAAAAAGGTACCATGAAGGCTTTAATTCACATAAGAAGTCACATAAGCAACAGTGATTCCAAGAGAACAATGGCCAGAAGCATATTGTTGTATTTGAAAGGTGCCGGATGATTACTGGGCATTTGCACGTTGAAGCACCATCATAGCTACTAGGCACTCTTTCTCCCATCCTGGAGTTCAAGATCAAGAAGATATTGGGAAAGAAGGCCTTCCCAGGAAACCAACAATGAACTGGTGGGAGATGTGGAGAACTGGCACAAGCCAGTGTGGGACAATCAGCCCTCAGTAGTCCCAAGAGATATCAAGGGAACTGCTTGAGAGGAGAACTTTTTGATATAACTAGCACAAGAATCCACCAGCCATAACTGAAGCTGGTTTAAGAGTCAGAACAAAGTCCTAAAATTCCCCAGACAGGCATTAACCCTTTAGTCACTGGATTCCAGGAAGTAGGAAAAATAATTAGGTATACAACCAGAGAGGCTGGGACAGAAGGTGAAAGATAAATGAAGTCTTGCTTCAAGCAATGGGTTTTTTAAACTAGTCTAGATGTAGTAAAATATTTTAACAATCAGGATGATCATACCTTTACCAACAGAATAATCTTACCTTTTCATATGCACTGAATTATCAGTGCTAATTAAAATACAACCCGATATTGAATTCACCTCATTATGTCATAAGGTAATTTAAAGAATGAATCAAGAACATGTCTTAGGTTCTAGTTTGAGCAAGTAGTTGCTACTAACTAAGATAACGTTAACTAAAGAGAAACAAGATGAGAAGGGGTAATGAAGAGCTTTCTGTGGGGCATGTGAAATTCAGCAGCTAATAATCATAAAAGCACATGTTACAAATGAGAATGATTATAAATCCTGAACTCCTTGGGAAAATTTGGATCTAGAAATATTGATTTTGGATGGCATTTGAAAATCCAGGACTCCATGAAATCATATAGGGAGAGTTGGTAGTTAGAGAAAAGGGGTCTAGGACCAAGCCCTAGAACACTCTAATATTCAAAAAAGAGGAGAAGGATCCTGCAGAATTTGAAGAAGCACAGCCCATGAGACCTCCCTCACTTCTAATATCACTTGAATGTTTAGGAGTTTCCCCAAACCACCATTATACTTGATAATTCTCTAGAACTACTCATAGAATTCACTGAAAGTTACCTCCCATCAATATGTGACAATAAGTATGAAGTTTTACCAACCACAGAAACTCACCTGAGCCTCGGTATCCAAAATTTTTACTGAGGGGATCCATGGTTGACTACAAATATGGGTGAACTTCAGTCTCCAGCCTTTCTAGAGACAGAGAAGATACTTCTGGGTCTCAAAGCCTCCATTATAAATAACACTTTTAAACTATCCAGTGGCCAAGGCCACCTGGTAAATAAAGACATTTTTATCAAGGCAGGATATTCCAAGGGCCTACAGACCACCTTAAGGTAATGTAGGGCAAAGGCCAGGTATGTCTCTGTATAAAGTTAAGTCTTTACTACATAGAGCAAATAACCAGTTTGAGGTGGTAAAGGAAGAAAGGAAAAAGAAAACGTTACAACAGCAGGGGATTCCAATAACTAAGACAGAATATTTCAAGAAAGAGTGAGTATTCAGTTGTTTCAAATTCTAAGTTTTAATAAAGATAAAAAACAGGGATGTGGCCAGTGGCTAATAAAGCAACACTATGACTATGGCAACCTTGAAAAAGATGTTTTAGTGGAGTGGTAAGACTTGGCAATGTGGACAAAAATGAAGATAATGAGTATAGAATGTAGAGTTTTCTCTAAGGGAGACAAGACATTGAGTAGGAGCTGAAAGGTGAAATGAGGTTATGGGAGAAATACTTTAAAGAAAAATAATTCCTGAATGTGTCTATACATGACCATAAAATATCAAGTAGATCAGGATTTGTTGAAATGCAGAAGAAAAGAATGCATGTTAAGGGTGAGTCCAGGAGATAGAAAAAAATGAAGCCAAGAACTGAAGGAAGAGGGACTGCACTATGATAGGGCAGGAACGCTTCATTCCTCTTAACAGAAGTGCAGGCTTTGGTGAAGAGAAGATGAGGTAGCGTTTTTGTTGTTGTTGTTGTTGTTTTGTTTGTTTCCATTAACTTCCATTTTATCAATGAAGTGTAAGATTAGGTTTTCAGGCCAGAATGAATTGGGATACCATGCTACTGGTTTGACGAAATAAAACTAGGTATAAAACAGTTGTTTCCAAAAGGGAAGAGAGTAAACACACTAAAGAAATAGTAGAATTGTTAGGAAGTATTGAGTTCCCAATAATAATGTATTGTGTATTTCAAAGTAACCAAGAGAATAAAATTCAAATATCTTGCCACAAAAAAAAATGACCAGAAAGGTAAGATATGTTAATTAGCTTGATTTGTTTATTCTATACTGCATGTATAGATATCAAGATAAAACATCACATTGTATGCAATAAATGTATATAATTATGATTCATCAATTAAAATAACAAAAAAAGTATTTTAAAAAATAACTCAAGTGGATACCATAAGCAAGTTTGTGAGATAATATACCTACAGCCATTCCCTGTGACTCCGATGGATGTAGAAAAAAGAAAGGGATTTGGAGGTATTGACAAGCAAATGGTTGTGATGGTGGACCACTGGGAATATGTACTGTGTAGATAGGGATGGAAGAGAAGGGAGCTGGGGACACATCTGTATTTGGTTAAGAGTGGACTGGAGGCCACAATGAGACAGTTGTTTTAGTCACTGCTACTTGATGTCTCTGTTAAAAACAGATACTACACTTTCTATAGATGCTTGTACATTGATAAAATGATTTGGTTTACCTAGATGTCAGTACAATACATCATGTTTTCTCATACCTGGTCTCTCAGTTTGTGTCTTTTTTGCTTGACACATACATGCTCAGCCAATATTCCCAAAGCCCAGCCATTTTGCTAAATAGTTGGGGGTCAAGGTGGCTTCCAATTTATGCTACACTTGAACAAAACTAACTCTCCTATAAAATACGTCCTACTCTGGAAAGGTTCTGTGTGTACCCTTAATTTTCTTTCCTAGCCCTTCCAAGACTATCCCAATTTCCTCAACACTTATTTGACCTTTAAAATAAAAGTTTCAGGTGATTGATCCAATATGGTTGTTTCACTTTTAATATCCCCTTTCTTCATGTGCCTAGTGAAATGCCTCTCTTTGGTTGGCGGTTCCTATATGCATGTTCCTGAAGGAGTAAATCCACTGATGTGAGATAATACTAGAATGACTAAGAAAACAAGGAGAGCTTTTGGGAATTGAAAGAGGTTCCGACTTGGTAATTTCCCACTGTAGAGGTCAGCAAGCATAGCAGTTACCATTGGTACATGGCCTGAGATTAAGTGCATAGTATATAAAGGAAAGTGAGATAGGCTGACAGCACTCAGGAACGGACCCCAGGTACTTTGAGCTAGGGAAAAGCATGAAGACAAATGGGCCATCTATGTCTTCTTGAAGATTATCAGAACCACGTTCTACCAGAATTACTAATGTTCTTGCTAGGTCAAATAGCAAATCACTCTTAGAATAATGACTAAAACTTATTTCGTAATTGGTAGAGTCTCTTTAAGATTGTTCTGCTAGATTTTCTTTGGTAGAAAGAAAAGTCATTTTAATATAAATATAGATCAAACTTGGCAAATTAAAGATCAGACTCTGTAAACACAGAACATAAGGAAAAATATGCTACTACTTTATTCATTGTAAATTTTTATTCATTTGTTCATTCATTCATTCATTAGAGATAGAGTCTCACTCTGTCTCCCAGACTGGAGTGCAGTTGCAGGATCATGGCTCAATGTAATCTCCAACTCCAGGGCTCAAGCAATCCTCCCACCTCAATCTCCCGAAGTAGCTGGGACTACAGGCATGAGCCACAGCACCAGGCTAATTTTCGTATTTTTTGTACAGATGCGATCTCACTACATTGTCCAGGCTGGTCTCCAAGTCCTGGCCTCAAGCAAACCTCTTGCTTTGGCCTCCCAAAGTGCTGGGATTTCAGGCATGAGCCACCACACCTGGCCTATTTTTAATTTTGTAAATCACAAAAATCAATTGGTGACTAGGAAGTCAATTAATGGTTTAGAAAACTACAGCCTGGTGGAAACAGCAACAATTAATGTTTATTTGTAAGATCGTATTTTATAGGCTAAATTACAGTTGAATTCCAACTAGATATATATCCTCTCTCACATTTGAAAGTAATTGGCAGCACTGTACAAAGTCCTAACAATGAATTCAAAGGAGAAAGTTATTTTTCGTAACATGTACATAACATGTAAAAGAGCAAAATATCATTGGCTTTTCTACTGATGTGCTTCTTCTGCATATGGAAAATTAAATTATTTTGTATGGTATATCTGACTCTATATATGTGTGTATAGAATCAGATATTAAAAATATACTTTCCAGGTAATATAATATACACAATTTATTGTGATGCTGTTTAAATAACCAAATGCTCTCTTGTTAGGAGATGTCTAAAAGACTGGAAATAATTGAGCTGACTTTTCTAAACCAGAATAGCTAAGCTAGAATTGATTATATTCATGCTCTGAAAATTCTGATTTGCTAGAATCCATTTACTGTAACAAATTGAAGAAACCTAGTTTTTAGGTCATATATTGTTCATGACAAAATTGCATAGGAAATTTATAGATTTGTTCTGTCTAATACATTATGGACACATAATGTACCTTTTTGTGGACAGAAATGTCAATCATGGTACTTACGATAATAGAGTTAGTTGTATTTTTGTAGTTGTATATATTCTGACAGCATTAAAATATCCTGAAAATAAATTCAGTAGCTTCAGCATTAGGCTAGATATACCCTTCAGCTGTCATAGGGACTCAGAGAGAGAGGGAAAAAGGCAAAATATATTAATGTTTTCACTCTTTCTTCACAGTAAAAACTGTCAATATTATTTTTACTTTATGTACAGAGTTTTGAAACATTAAATGTAAAAGTAAGTTAAATTTAATAGATTGTATGAAAATATTTTTACGTCATCCCTAGGACAAGTAAACAAAGGCTGCAGATTGATGTAAAAATAATTCCCTTGTTCTGACTAATACACTCACGCACGCATGCATTTCCTTCCAGTCACCACAGCTAGCTGACCTTAGGAAACTCAAGTAATGACAAACTAAAATTAGTAACCACATGTCCTTTGCCTAAAGCAAGCCACAGCTGAAGGATGAAAAACTAGAGACAGAGAGAAACTCACTGTAACTTGAAATTGTGTCTAGTACCTCAGTTGTATATTCATTCTAAGCATTAGGTTTTGCTAATGTATAATCTTATCAACAGAATCATAAGGCTGAAATAAATATTGAGAGATCAAAAAAGTCTATATCCATTTCTACAGGTGGGACAGTTTAGAAATATTATAGACAGTTATAATGATAGGAAACTGCTGAATATTGCCTGAGCTCCTTGAATGCAAATTTTCTTCTGTGCAAAGCTATAAGTGACTCAGTAATCACTACAGAAAACTTCAAAATCTCATGAAAAATATGAACCATGTGAGAAATGGTTGTATTCCTGATAAATATTTTAGGCTTTGTCCCTGTATAGCCAGCTAAATGGGAAGCTCCAAAGTGGATTTTCTCTGACTCAAACCAGAAAACAGAATCCAGTAGAACTCAACTAAAAGCCAAGTTTCAGGTCTATTACTGTTTCATTGGTTTATTTTGTCAGCATCCACTTTTCTTTAGTTTATCTTTTACACAAAGCAATTTTAAAATTTATCTTTTTAACAGGAAAAGATGGTGGCCACATACCACTTAATTTGTTGTTTCATTTTGTTTTGTCCTTGCCTTATATTTTGTCATTTAAAAAATAATTCACCTGTTTTGCTTTCATACCAGTTTCTAATGATACCATTAATAATAATAGGAGTATTAATAGAGATGATATTTATCACCTTCACTTTGTGTGTCATGCTCTCTGCTAAAGTGTTTATACCATTGGGTTCAAACTTTGAACCTGAAAATCACCTGGGGAGCTTTGAAAAATCCCAAAGCCTGAGTTACACTTCATACCAATGAAACAGAATGCACAGGGGTTGGAAGCCAGACATCAGTATTTCTTGGAAACTACTTTTTTATCCCACAGAAACCTTTGAAATAGTGTAATTATGGTGGCTGTCTGTGGTAGTTAAGCATACCTTGTCTGGTAAACTGGCATTGGTTCCAAACTCCATTGTTTATGAGGTCTGTCACGTTCGATACTACTTTATTTCACTGTACCTCTTTTTTTCATTTGTAAAATGAGAAAAATAATTAGTCGCTACCTTACCGTGTTGGTAGGAGGTTTACTTAATGCAGATAAACTTCTAAGATGACCATAGTTATTACTCTACACCCATTCAGTAAGTGAAAACAATAAATCACAGAAAGTTGAGCAACTTGCTAAAATGTGCACAAATAAATGTTCCACAAAGCCTGAATGAATGCAGTCCAACCATGTATAGTTTAGATAGCAATTATTTCTTCCAAATGTACAGTTCCCACTGCCTTGATCTGTTTAAAATAGTGTAATCCAAGAGGTTAGCTGAAGAGTTTGGTTAAAACACCCAAGGGCATGTAGTTGTATAGATCTAGCTTCGGTGCCTTCTACCAGCTGCCTGTGGAGTTACCTACTTGCTTCTTGCTTCTTGTAAAAACAACTCAACCACATAGATTTAAATTACAAGCATTCAGGAAATATAATTCATTTTGTTAACTAGACTTTAATCCTGCTTATCCTCTGTGAAGAATGGATGCTAATTATAAAGTCTGTGGCATTCTTATCTTATATTCACTGTGGCATATCAGTGTCTTTAGTTTTCAAATAGATAAGGAAAATTAGCTTCCTTGAATATAAGACTGCAAGGAAGGTGTCGTCTATTTCTAAGAGTGCAGAATCACTGGAATAGATTTTTTAAAATTCTAATTGCTGGTCTTTACACTTTTTTTTTCATCTTTCAGGGACAGTGGCAGAAATTTCTCTGATAAAAGTCTAAGTCCTTTGACCTCGTAAAAATTTGCAATATAATAGAAAGGTAGACAAATAAATGGAAGTAGGAGGCTTTAAAGTAAAACCGATCCGACATGGGATTTAATCCCATGTTTAATCCCATTTTCAGAATTTCCTAGCCATGTGACCTTGTACAAGATTCTTAATTTCTCAAAGAAGGTTTCATTTGGTATACAATGGAGATAATAAAATCTAACGCAGATATTTGTTTGTCTTAGGGATTTAATAATATGGTATATATAGTATTTTACTTAGCCCAGCACTAGAACATAATAAGACATCAAGAATTGGTTGCCTTATTTATTATGCCATAATTTAGCATGACAAATAGGTAAATAGAGTAAATACTCAGGGTGCTAAGGAAGAACATGGGTGGAACCCTTAAAACAGATGGGGATTGAGGAAGGACAGCTTCATGAAGACATGGCGGTCATGGATTCAGAGAGTCTGATTTAAAAGAATTATATGTTGTATATTTAAAGCCAGCTTGCTGAAGTATGACTTTAATTATGAATACATGTACGATTTCAACTTCTGTTTATTTTCCTGGTATTGAACAGTTGTTGTCAAATCATCTATAAAACGCTTGACCCACTGTGACCTCATATCTCCCTTTATAACCACAGGGAATGAAGAAACAAATAAAATGAACACTATTATGAAACAAATATATATGATACGTATAAATCATACTTAAAGTTATTTGAGAAATTCCTCCTACGAGTTACACTTGGAGTCATTTAGTGCATCATATTTGACTTTTCCGAAGTTAAGTTTCATATATATGAAAATTCTCCCAGTACAGACTCTCTAAATCAAAGTTATTTCACTTTACACCTAGAACGATAAACAAAATAACAGACCTTGCTTAAACTCTTTGAGGGCAGTTAAAGTGATGTACTTTAAAGAAAACTTCTCAGTAAAGTTTTACATTTCCTGTATAAAGGTCATAGCCCTTTATTGTTTTACCCATGAAGCCCATTACAATTTCATTTTTGTACTTATTTATTTATAGTTAAATTGTCAACTGTCATTCTGTAATTATCATTTCTCAAGTCACTTTTCTTGCATTCCCACAGGGTTTTAGTACTGTGAGCTCTTGAAAATAATATCTTAATACATGTATACAATGTATAATCAAATTAGTATAATTAGCATATTCATCATCACAAACATTTATTATTTCTTTGTGGTGAGAACATTCAAAATACTCTTCTAGCTATTTTGTGGTATACTATATATTATGGATACCTTTGGTCATTGCAATTTATACATATGTAAAATTATTATGTGTCAATCAGAAATAAACAAACAAAACAAAACAAAAAAAAGAAAACCTCTCAATCTATAGCCCTTTCGAATTTTCATAACACACTTGTTCATCAAACTGGTTTTACAATCGAAATATTACTGTCAACATTAGCTCAATTTGAGACTTCCAGTAGTATTTAAATATAACCGTAATATTTAAATATAAGTTTAACTACTTCTAGTAGTATTTAAATTAAATATAATGTGGAGATAAAAATGTCATTTAAAAAACTCATTCAGTGAGAAGTGTCTATAGAAACGGCTCTAAAATTATAAACTACCATGTCTATATTTTACAACTATTTTCTGACTTTTTTTTCAATTTATTTGGAAGGTAGAAAATGCTGGATTATTTAAGAAGTCTGAGTCATTATTCTTCTGCATCATATAAACATTCATATTAAGTAACACCAAGGAATTAATGAATGCCTTCCCCTCTACAAAGAGAATGGAAGTCCACTTTCGGGGATAGCTATCATCATAAGTAATCCCATTTCAGATGTCAACTCAATTAACAGCTTCATATTCTATCATTTTCTGTCGTCTCTTAGAGAGTAAGAAATTATGTCGTTATAAAATCAAAATTTGACTTCACAAGAGGAAAGCTTTTTTTTTTTTTCTGTGAGGGTACAGAAGCCGTTAATTTCTAGGATTAGTGAAATCTATACAAGGCTTTTTTCAGCAAAATTAGAACCAGGAACAGGACAGAGCTGCAATGGGAAACCTGGAAGATACTGCTGTCATCTTTTGGCACTCAAAACACTATAAACAAAGAAAGAGAATTAAAGGCAATTTCCAAGAGGGCAGGCTGCTGTCTCTCTAGTTTATTATTCTATTCCTGGAACACAAAACAGTGTCTAGCACATAGTAAGTGCACAACAAATATTTGCTAGGACAAGATAAATAATTCTACTTAATGCAAAATGAGAACTATACTCTAATTTTACAAATAATGTCAGTTGTGATTTTTGATGGAATAAACACTAAATGTATACTTAGGAGTTTGACACTCTTTTTAATGACGCGTTTTGCCATGTAGACTGTGCCTACTTCTCCTAATGCATCTTGTATGATTCTCCTCAGGCTCAATCGACTCTAAGCAAACTCATTTTCTTTCTGGCCATCAAAAACCTAAACTCTTCCCCACCTCAAGTTCTTCACACGTAGTGTTCCCTCTACTTTGAAGGCTTTTCCCCAGCTCTTCACATGGCTGGCCCTTTCTCACCCTTTGTTCTTAACTCCAGTTTACCTACTCAAAAACACCTTCCCCTACTGAGTATGTCAAGTGCCACCCAATGACCCCTGACTTCCAACACACCTATCATATCACCTTGACTGTTTGCTTTGTAATCTTTTTCACAATCCGACACGATATTGTTCAATTTATTTATTTAATCATTTTGTTTGTCACCCTCCATTTTAGAAGTTAGCCTCTCTGACAGCAAGAAATATTTATCTTATTTATCATGGTCTCTTCAGCACCAGAAACCCTATTAAGCATTTCTACTAATTTAATGTTAATATTCATACTCATTTATTTTTATATTTAATACATACCTTTAATTTTTAAACTGAACTCACATAATTCTTTTTCACTTTTCTCTTTAAAGTTTACACGGGAAAAGCTTAACTCAGTGAATCACTAATCACCTGGTGGTAATAAACATAATGAGAAAAAAAAATGGTTGTTTTGTGTGGGTGTGATCTTGTGAATCCAAGCTTCTAAGTACCGTAGTCAGTGTTACACTGCTGTAAATGCCATCAGCTGTTTGATTAGATTTCTAACTATTCAATACAAACATAAGAATAAAAAATTTAAAAAATTTGGGGAAATGATTAAGAAGTCTTCAAATACACATATTTAGAATCCTATAGAAAAAGAAATCTGGGGTATTTATTTTTATTAAAATGCCTAGTATCATAGAAATTGAACTGAACTCAACTAAAATTACAAGCAGTCATAGCCTCTTACACAAGAAATCTGCCATTTAGTTATTAGGTAGCTTAGAGAAGTTTCAAAGAAAAATAGTTTACAGTGGCCGGGCACGGTGGCTCACGCCTGTAATCCCAGCACTTCTGGAGGCCGAGGCGGGTGGATCAAAAGGTCAGGAGATCGAGATCATCCTGGCTAACACGGTGAAACCCCGTCTCTACTAAAAATACAAAAAAATTAGCCGGGCGTGGTGGCGGGCCCCTGTAGTCCCAGCTACTCCGGAGGCTGAGGCAGGAGAACAGCGTGAACCCGGGAGGCGGAGCAGGCAGTGAGCCGAGATAGCGCCACTGCGCTCTAGCCTGGGCGACAGAGCGAGACTCCGTCTAAAAAAAAAAAAAAAAGAGAAAAATAGTTTACAGCTTCCATTTGTTCTATTCATTAGAAGCTTGAATCAATATCTGTAGTGGCTTTTACACTGTTGAACAGAATATCTGCTAATTCAGTATAAAATTACTAGATGAGGTAAAGTCAACCATACTTCTTCACTATGATATAGGGATTAAGAATATTTTAGTCAGATGCCAGATAACTTATTGTCTCTCATTTGATTATAAAACACACTTTGGTTTTAAAGACACAGTTTCCTCGTTCTTTTTTGCTTAGTTCAACTATACCAGCATTTGTGGAATACACATCTATTGAGACATACACATCTATTGAGTCTTCTTATAGTCTACATTATCAGAGGTGGTTGAGGAGTAATTAGACTGAAAACAAAGATTTCTAAAGATATTTGTAGAATGTAAAAATGGGTATAATTAATAATAAACATTTAAAAAATATTTTTTTTCTTTTTACAGTTATTTTATGCAAATTATCTCAATTTACTTTTAAAAAAAAAAAACCCTGTTCAGTAGAGCAGTTACTAGTACTACTTCATAAGTACTGAATTTAAAAGAATTATTTTGGACACTTGAGAACGCTAATAGGTAAGTCTAAGACTTCTGGTCTACCTCTCTTATTGGTACTCCCTGCCTGAAGGAGGCTCTGGAAGGAACTCACTAATAGTTTCACAGAGTTCAGTCACCTTTGGAAGGCTAAGCAGCAGCAAGATGATCATTCAAAAATTAAAGGAGTCTGGACACAGTGTAGTATTTAATTTAAAATCTAGATCAGAGCTAGTTAATCTGTTCATAGGTAGTAGAATATTTAGTTTTAGTTTTAGTTTTTTTTTTTTGACGAAATGTCACTCTGCCACCAGGTTTGAGTGCAGCGGCACGATCTCAGCTCACTGCAACCTCAGCTCCCAGGTTGAAGCAATTCTCCTGCCTCAGCCTCCCAAGTAGCTGGGATTACAGCTGCCCACCACCATGCCCAGCTAATTTTTGTATTTTTAGTAGAGACGAGGTTTCACCATGTTGGCCAGGATGGTCTCAATCTCTTGACCTCGTGATCTGCCTGCCTTGGCCTTCCAAAGTGATGGGATTACAGGTGTGAGCTACCACATCTGGCCAAATATTTAGCTTCTTGACACTTCATCACAAGTAAATTAAAATAAAGAATTATGTGTTGTGAAGGAATATATATGTGTGTGTTTATATACAATGTTTGCTGTATATATGAGTTTATGTATGTACATATACATATAGAGAGATGTATATGTAGTATATATCTATATCTATCATCTATCTATCAACATATATATATAGTAAAACATCTATATATGTGTGAACACATTTTCTGAACCTGACTAAGACCATTTTTACTCAGTAACTGTACTGGTTTATATAAATAAAAATAATAATATGCCAACAAAATGTCAAGTTATTTATCAAACATAATAAAGCAAAGAAAAATAATATAATACACCTGCTGTGTCTTTTTAAGTTTTCTCTCTTGTGAAAAGATAGCTGAAGTTTCATTGTGAATTAATGCGAAAATAATGTATTCAGGAATTGGCAGGGAGAATGTTGGCTGACAGAGGGGTATAGGTTATAAGGTCTTTCCCAATCTTTCTTTACTTATCAGAAAATGTCAGTGTTTCCCCTGTGGGAGGCCTCCCAGAACACAGACAAGTGTTCCCAGAGAATCTTATCCCTGGGTAGTAGTAACACTTTTTCTAGTAAATTTTTTTTAAGCAATACTCTAACAGCATGATTCCTTCCAAAAACATAGCCTTGGGGCTGGAAAAAGTGGAGCGTTTGCAACTGTTCAATACCTCAGATTTCCTATGTAGCCTGGTCTGCAAATAAAACTGCATGTTTTCCCTTGATCTCAGGGCCCTCAAATTTTAGCATGCACCAAAATGACCTGGGAAACATATTAAAATTACAGATTCCTAGGTCCCATACCTGATATTTTTTATCCTGCCATCCTGCCAGTAACACCATGATGTATGGATTATTATATCTCTTTTGATAAGGAAATTGATATTCGTAGAAATGTCCCAAAACAGTAAGCAGAAGATCTGGGGTGGACGCAAACTGTGCCTTCAATTCACTCAATAATTGCTGTCAAAGAAAACTACAAATATAAATGAATTTTATTTAACTCAGATTTCATTTTAATCTGTTACTCTGCACCCTAATTCCTACTTCAATTTGTACTTCTCCCACCTTGTTTATTTGGCAATTGTTACTTTTATTTTATACATTTCATTTATTTTTACTCCACAAAGACTGTTCCATCTATCACTTCCAGACCCATTGAAATCCCCATCCTCCTTTTATTTAACATTTACCCATATTGAGCACACAAACTGTAATCCCATGGGAGAACATACCAAGACAGTAAACGAATTAGCTGCTGATGCTAGAAGTTCATTGGGGAAGTTGTTTTGTAGTCTGTAATTCCTTCAAAGCATTGAGCGTAATATCAAATGTGTGTGTATTTGTTAGTTCCGATCTACAACCTAGGAGTGGTCAGTGCACATAATTGAGAATACCTATTTCAGGGGTTGTTAGCTGCCTCCATACTCCAGAGGCATGCCTTGGATCTGTAGCTATGTTTTTCTTAGATCAGCAATGCATGGTTTATTAACTAGTACAGTTGATGTTGGAAACGTTTTTTCTTGATGAAATATTGGAATTCAAGCTATGAGAAGTAGTTAAAATGAATATTGTAGAGAAAATTCAATTGTTCTTGAGTAAATAGGCACCAGGAGACAGAAACTCCAATATCAGAGTGGCACTTGAAAGTTGATTCATAAAGAGTTCTGTGCCTGGCCGTTAACCCAATTGATTCTTTTGTTCTGAAATCCTCTATATTGTTACTACAACTTACCTTTAGGACTTTGTTGATTTTCCTATGGTCAACTTTTCATAAAAGGTATTATTAAAGTACTAAAAACGACAAAGAGCTGAGACTTCTTTAAAATTACAAAGCAGATTACATGACTCTCTTTGTGCCTACTGAGTAATAATATTTTCTGTGTATATATAATGTACATACACTATATGTATATAAACTTGCTTCATTACAACCTTTAAATGAGGTGGTAGGCAGGAGATATAGAGCCTTTACAGAGGTTACAGATATTTACTAAAATAAAATATAAGCCAACAAAAGACTACTAATCATCATGTATAGCAAAATTGGCATGCATTACTTCACGAAATAATAGATGTGTTGGTTTGAAAAAAAATCAATTTTTAAATGCTCTTAATAGAAGATATGACCAGATTGCAGCACACTGGACAAGAAAAGCTGTAATAACCATATTTTCTAGTTTCTATATTTAGTGCTTTGATATCCTGGGGCCTTTCTGACCCTGAAAAGACTGCCCGTTCCAGGGTTAGCTAAGTGCTAGATATGGCAAAAGAGTTGCTTACAGGCGCACTTCTCATATGCAAACCAATCAATTCAGAGCCTATATCTCCAACCACTTTCTTTATCACACTTATAGTATGCTTACACTATGGCCCACCCTCCACCTGCCTTAATCACCCCCAGGCCAGAAATCAGACCACTAGGAACAGTTCCTATGTCCCAGAGCCCACTGAAATTATTCTAACTAACCAATCCTAAACCTGCTTACCCTACCTTACCCCTTCCTTCCCATAGAAAATACAATAAAGGCTCTAGCACACTTTCCCCTCACTTGCTTCGCCTCTTGACCAACTCTGGTTCTTCCCCATGTGACCCTGCATGACATCTTGTACCTGTTTCTAGGGATCTGTGAGTATGAAAACTTCTTCCTTCATGACAGTCGCTCCTGTGTCTGTGTGTCTTATCATACCTGACTAACACAAATCTCAGGCACCCTTACCACAAAAGAAGTCAGAATATCACTATTTCAAATAGCAAGGAGAAAACAAAGCGAGCTAGAAAGAAAAGGGAATCTCAGTACCATAGGAAAGAATAGGCCTTATGTTGTGACAGTGTTGAAGGGGTTTTGACTCCAAGAGGGTCATGTGATGAGAAGGGGAGGCTGCTAAAATTGACTTGAAGATGAGTTTTCATAGCTGAGACCACACAGTTTTAACTAAGATTTTTAATTGCGGTTGTCTTAATGGTAGTTGGCAGGGGGGCGGGGTGGAGGTATAATTTTAAGATCTATTTTATGGAATGTGTCTATTCTCAAGCAACCCTCAACTTGCTACTTTTTTCTCATAGTCCTTTAATTCTTCAGTAAAGTTCCATGAGTAGTAACTATTGAGATTTTCCATGATCCATAAAATTGAAGATTCAAGTCAAGTTTATAAAAATCTCTGCCCTCAGGGAATTATCATGATGCCCAGTTTAGAGGAATAATGTTAATCATGTATTTCCTCCCTTTTTTTCCTTCAGGAGTGCACCTAGTATATAAAACAATGCCAACCTGTAAATCAACATAAGCAAAGCATATAGAATATACAAGGTTAGAAAAATCTTACTCATTTCCAGTTAACTGAAAAAAAAACTTTCTTTTTACCTTTGTGTTAAAATATTTTTTGAACCCCATAATACCCACTATCAAGTATTATGTACTAAATATAATTTAATATATATTAGAAAACTTTGTAATTTAATTTGTATTGGAAAGCTGATAATAAAAAAATCCAAAATTCATCAACTAAATGTCAATACAATAGCTATAGATTTAAATGTTATGAATCTCTACTGTAAAGAAGATTAGTCTAACATTTTAATGAAAACAGAATGTACAATAATTTTTTTAAGATATGCTGATAAGGCCAGGCCTGGTGGCTCACGCCTGTAATCCCAGCACTTTGGGAGGCTGAGGTGCGCAGATCACGAGGTCAAGAGATCGAGACCATCCTGGCCAAAATGGTGAAACCCCGTCTCTACTAAAAACACAAAAAAATTAGCTGGGTGTGGTTGCATGCACCTGTAATCTCAGCTACTCAGGGGGCTGAGGCAGGAGAATTACTTGAACCTGGGAGGTGGAGGTTGCAGTGAGCCGAGATCATGTCACTGCACTCCACCCTGGCGATAGAACGAGTCTCTACCCAAAAAAAAAAAAAAAAGGCTAATGAGGCTCATTCATTGACATTTGTTCTTAAAAAAGAAATAACTGTTTCCTAAGAGCCTCTGTGGTCAAAATAATAACAGTAATTGACTATGCATCACTTGCTCATTTATGAACAATATTAACTGCACTGAAACTATGTAAAGAAGAGAAGGTAACTTGGCATTTTCAAGTAAAGTGTTAAGCAAATAGTACAAATTTGGAGAAGGGCTATTTCAATGTAAATTGCTTATAAAAAGTTTATTTATTCAAATTAAGGCTTTTATCGATGTCCCCTAACAAGCTGTTAATTCACTCATTGGCAAACATTTACTGAATGCCTACTTTATGCTAAAAATTATGGAATAAAGACAAATATGACAAGATTTCTGCCCTCCAGATGTTCATAGTCTAGAATGATGATAGATATGTAAATAAAAAGAGTTACACTATTACATGACAAGTGTGATTATAGAGTTATAGCTGGAATACAGGACAAGTTGAAATACAAGAAGTACCAATAATTGTCTAGGGGAAATGGAGACATTATATGAGCACTAGGTAGAAAGGAATTTGGCAACTGCAAAGGAAAGAGGATCAGATAGAGAAAAAGGAATGGAATGGTGAAGATACAGAGTGTAAAGAGCAGTGTCTTGTGAGCACTGCCATTCATCCCACGGGCAGAAGCACAAATATGACATTTTGCCTGTGTGATTGCTATGCCCATGAAATTCACATGCTATGCAAACAACATAATGAATTCAGGCAAACAACCCCTGAAGTTTGACTAATATCATTTCAAAAAAAATGATCATTGGATCATGAAGAAAAAAATCCTATTACATACATATGACAATTTTGTTAATGAAATTTAAAAATTATGTATTAGTGTAATTATATCCACTCCAAGGATGAAGGCTTCTTAAGTTTAGATATAAGCTTGTAAATAACCCACGATATAATTAAAGGATCAAAAATGAAAGATAAAGGAAAATGACAACTTACTCTGTGTTGTCTCTAGACAATTGATGCATGGTGCAATCTACCCAGCATCTTCATTAGTGAGCTAAAAGAGGGTGTAAGTAAAACCACACTAATGATATTCACAGATGATAACAGATTGGAAACTGTCTTTCTGACACCACTGTTGACTGTGAAGTCACAACAGGGAGACAAAATAGCTTAGAAATATTGGTAGACAATTAAAGTGGGAGCAAACATTGAGATTCAGGTAAGAAAAGGAGCAATTGAACAATCTGGAGAGGAAGAATAAGATACACAGAAGATAGCAACGCCAAGTTTTAGTAATACACAAAAACAGGAAACCATTACAAAGTACTTACAATACTTCCCAATATATACAAACACTCATAAATACATGTGTAGGGGTATATATGTGTGTGTGTGTGTGTGTGTGTGTGTGTGTGTGCACCTCAGTCTGGAGAAGTACATCAAGGAAGTTATGGCACTATGGACACTGGCACAAATGGAAGGTGACCAAAGGAGGTAGCTGCCTATGACATGAAGGATAAGAAATACAACATCTAATTCCCTGAAGAATGTGGAGACTTGGGAAATAAAGAACTCATTTAACCGCTCTACAATCAATACAATAAAATGAGAGATGAGCAGACACTTTTGGAGAAAGGTCTCAACAGAAGCACATTTTAAAGGAAAACATGGTAAATATCTGTTTACACATTTAACCTGTACCTAGATCTTTAGAGTATACAAAGTTGAACAAAATGCTGGTTTGAGAGTACTGTCTTCAAATAACGTAAAAGCTAATTTGATGGGTAATATTTTAGAAATATTAAATGTAAAGGGAAAATGAGATAGCAGAAGTGTAGACCAAATGAGCGAAAGGTAGCATGTAGGTGGGGACTAAGGAAATCCTACATGTCAAACGTGTTTACATGAGCACAAGGGTGTTGGAAGGATTTTACAGGCAGATTTGGAAACATGGAGGCCATTGCTGCTGTTAGAAGTGCTTGATTTTTAGTATTTGTTTTGTGATCCTGGGGTAACCTAAAGGAAGGTAAAGAAAGACTGAATAAAATTGATATATTTCAGTCCTTGGGAACACCATATAAGAAACATACAATACAATGCCTTATGTTTCATATGTAACCAAATGTATACATCCACAGGAAATATTTTTCTTCAGTTAACAATTCATTATCTTTTCCCAATTATAGTCTCTTTCCAAAACAGAATAATAATCCATATAGTTAAATCAGATAAACGTTTTTTTCCATCAAACTTGAATTCTTGAGTAAGAAAAATCTGTGTCAATCTTATGAAATTATTTGAATTTTATGATCATCTGTTCATAACATGAATGCAGGCTATATTAGAGACCTAATGCTTAACTTCTTGTCCCATAACCAGAATCAAAAAATCTGAGATGAGCATACCAAGAGAAAAATGAAGCAATCATGGGCAAATGTGGTACAGGCTGACACAGAGTTACTTTGACGCAGGCTAACAGTGCTGAATCCTGGGGCAGCTGGAAATCCAAGTGCTTTTATCAGCTCCTATTCTTTTTGGGCAGCCCAGAATATGACTTCAGGTCTATCTAGAGCCACCCTAGAAAGTATTTCAAGAAAATTTAAAAAAAAAAAGAAAGAATTCATGGATATACGTACCACACTGGGGAGAAAGAGTAACTCAGTTAATAGGTGTGATGGTTACGTGTCAACTTGATGGGATAGAAGGATGCAAAGTATTGTTCCTGGGTGCATCTGTGAGGATGCTGCCAAAGGAGATTAGCATGTGAGTCAGTGGATGGACTGAGAGGCGCAGATTCTCACCTTCAATCTGGGTGGACACCATCTAATCAGCTGCCAGCGTGGCTAGAATAAAGCAGGCAGAAGAACGTGGACGGATTTGACTTGCTGAGTCTTCCGGTCTTCATCTTTCTCCCGTGCCAGATGCTTCCTACCCTTGAATATCAGACTCCAAGTTCTTCAGCTTTTGGACTCTTAGACTTAAAATAGTGGTTTGCCAGCGCTCTCGGGCCTTCAGCCCCAGACTGAAAGCTGCACTGTCGGGTTCCCTACTTTTGAGATTCTGAAACTCGGACTGGTTTCCCTGCTCCTCAGCTTGCAGACGACCTATTGTGGTACTTCACCTTGTGATAGTGTGAGTTAATACTCCTTAATAAGTTTCCCTTCATATATACATCTATCCTATTAGTTCTGTCCCTTTAGAGGACCCTGATTAATACAGTAGGTTATATAAAGTGGATTAGCAGGAAGATAAACGAAGGGTGATTGCAGCCATTTGGTAGGTGGCATTGAAAGTCAGAGTAAGAACTTTTTTTTTTTTTTAATTTGAGACAGAGTCTCGCTCTGTCGCCCAGGCTGGAGTGCAGTGGCGCAATCTCGGCTCACTGCAAGCTCCACCTCCCGGGTTCACGCCATTCTCCTGCCTCAGCCTCCCGAGTAGCTGGGACTACAGGCGCCCGCCACCACGCCTGGCTAATTTTTTTGTACTTTTAGTAGAGACGGGATTTCACCATGTTAGCCAAGATGGTCTCGATCTCCTGACCTCGTGATCCGCCAGCCTCAGCCTCCCAAAGTGCTGGGATTACAGGCGTGAACCACCGCGCAAGAACTTAATTTTATGGGCCAAGGAAAGAATTGAACATGTCTGAGAAATAAAGTTATAGAGGCAGAAAAAGACATTAGGAAGTTTTATCTGGCAGGAGTGTGTGGGATGGATTTTTGAGGGAAAGGCAAGAGAAAAGATCGATTTGGCACTTGTGTCAAGTAGGCTGAAATTTCCCTAAGACTGAGCCATGAAACACTAGTGAGCTGAGAGTCAGTCACTACTGCCATCGGGGTGGAACTAATCCAGGTTTTCCAGAGAACTGAATTATATGAAAATTAGGGAGTCTTCTTTAATAAATAGAACACAAAACCCTGAATGAAAAATTATGCAAGTAAAGGGGCACCGAAATTAAGCTTCTGCCTCTGATGGCAATATTGTATAATCAGAACCTTTGTAAACTATATTTTTTTATCAATAGAAAGTTTTTTCAGTGCTTGAGATTTGCTGCCCCAAATTCTCATCTTTTAGTCTTCCAGATACAGCCAGTTAAATAAACAGAGGGTAATGACTTTAAGTCACAGTTGTTCCTCCTTACCCAAGGAAAATATTTTCTGAGACTCCCAGTGGATGACTGAAATTGCAGATAGTACAAATTTCTATATAAACTATGTTTTTTTATATACATATGTATAAATGTCAAATTTATAAATGTACCAAATTTATAAATTAGGTACAGTAAGAGACTAACAATAACCTAAAATAAAACAATGATAGCAATACACTGTAATAGAAGTTTCATAAATGAGATATTGCTCTTTCTCTCTAAATATCTTATTGTACTTTACTCACTTTTCTTCTTGTGATGAAGACAGGATGAAGTGGAATGGTGCATCCTGTTTAGAACAAACACAATTTAAAATATATTAATTATTTCTTTATGGAATTTTCTATTTAATATTTTTGGACCACAATTGACCACAAGTAACTGAAACTGCAGAAAGTGAAACCATGAATAAGGGGAAAGACAATAATTTGATAAAAGCATTGATAGTTTATTCTCTTAAGTTTTGATTGGAAATAAAGAACATCTGAATTCATTCACCACATGTATTAAGGTGTCATAATTTTTACAGACATTCTATTAAGTACCTGTAATATTACCGTTAAAAACAAATAGAGAGAGTGTCCAGGATCTACCTAGCTCAAGTTGGACACATTAAGTGGAAGGGAGAGTGCTAATTTTTGAGGTAGTTCTTTATTGACTGTGTTCAATATGTAAGGAATATTTTATATATTAATATCATCAATCTTTTCTATTGTGGAGCATCTTTTATTTTATAGACTATAATCATTATTAATAAGGGTTTTAAAAGATCAGGTGCAAGTTGACAACGTGAGAATAGAAAAATATATTGAGAATAAAGACAGACATTCAAGCTGGCAAATGTGATGGGGAGAATAACTCCTTTAAGGTCAAACGTTATACAGTGTATGTGTTGAGTGCACAGAACCTGAAAAATGGGAAAGAAATGTTTCATAGCTATAACACTTTCTGATTTTTGTACACAGAGCAAAATAAAATCATTACCAGATCTAAAAAATACATGTTATGAAAGAAGTCCCTCCTCCTGAAGAAAATACTTGGGATAATTTAGATGATCTATTTTTATGATATTAAAGTGCATTTCTTTCTAATCAGGGGAATCATAAATATATTCCATGCTACTTGCAATAATTTTTGTATAGTTCCAATAATCCAATAAAGATACTGGCAATAGCTCAAACATCAAAAGAGGTTAACCAGTGTTTCTCAACATTTGTTCATATTTCCCTCCTAAGGAGACTTTAAAAACATATTTTTCTTAATCACACCCAGTTCCAAATGAAACTTTAATTCCACAGACATATTGAATATCTTTTTAGGTACTGTTGCTCTTTGTGGGGAACACAAATTATTGTAATGCCTGGGAATTGTTTTCCTCTCCCATAACCAATTTTCTCCCTTTGGGAGCAAAATTTAATTTTTTTAATTAAAAAATTAAAAAATTATTTTTTATTTTATTTTTATTTTTTTAATTTTTGTGCCCCTGTCATGGGGGCACCACTACGACTACATGATTAACACCATATCATTCTTTTTAAGTCATTTATAGACTTATGGAAAAGAAATAATCTGTCCATTTATATATAAATCACTGCCATCACATATATTATCTCAAGAATGGATTCAGAAATATTTTCTTTTCTTTTTTTACTTTTACCCTGTGATAGTCTATAAAGTCATTTAAATCATGGATGCTGACATGCTCACAGTTGTATCTCTATCACCTCTCTCAGGGTCTGTCACAGATGGTGCCTACAAAAGGCTTGATGAATGCATGATTTACAGTGGACGAGTGAAAGCCCCCCTGTGTTTCTCACATACCATTTCTACAAAGGGCTTTATCACATCTGTAATGAGCTTACCACATCTGGATCTAGCTCCATGAATAAATTTCTACTTAGAGTGAAATAAGCATTTCTTACTTTACTTTTAAATCTAATCACTGTAGAAGTAAAATCTATTTTCTGAATCTCTATTCCTGGAGAAATTGCAACTAAATATGGAATAGTGATGTTAATCAGAAAGAACTAAGGCTTAAAGCTCTCTGTTTCTAGTATGTTATTCGGCCTCAAGGAAATTGTATAATTTTTTTTCTGCCTCAATTTTCTCACCTCTAAAATGCAGTTAGTAAAATACACGACCCATTGTTTGATTTTCCTCTCGAGAAACTGCAGTAGAATTGATGGGAAATTGCTCCAATGTATGAGTGCAAGAAGAAGTCACCTGGGGTTATCTACAGTGGTTATCTGGAAAAGGAAGTGCCGTTGCAAAAGTTGTAAGTCAAACCTAAGACAGTATTAAAGGTTAAGCACCAAAGAAGTCATTTTTTTCCCAGTAACCTTTATCAGATGCTTTTTTTCCCAGAAAGAAGTATCTGACAAAGAGAGAGAGGAGATAGACAGAGAGAGAGAGAGAGATCCAAAATGTCAGAAATCAGGTAAAGTCTAGAAACAGAATGAAACTGAACAGGGAGTAAATGAATGGAGTCAGAACAAAGCAACAGCTGGAAGAATAGAAGGAAAGAAAACAAAAAAGGAATGAAGAAAGGAAGAAGGAAAAGAGGAAGGGAGGGAAGAAGAGAGGCGGAGGGAGGAAGAGACGGTGGAAGGAAGGAAGGGAGGGAGGGAGGGAGGGAGGGAAGGGAAGAAAGAGCTGGAGAGAGGGAGGGAGGGAGGGAAGGGAAGAAAGAGCTGGAGGGAGGGAGGGAGAGAGGGAGAAAGAGAGGGAGGGAAGGAAATTATTTCTATGAATAAAACTACATGCTCAAAGCTCACTTTTAAAGGCTGCCTGCCTTGTCACCTCCAGTGGACTTGCCTTGTTGCAGGCACAAAATAGGCAGGTACTTCACCTAACAGCTAAAGACAAATGTAAATGTTCCTTAAAATATTAATCTTATATGAAGAAAATATTAATGAAATCATACATATTCTATGGTTTTCTTTTAATCCTTAAGTCTTTAAGAGGTGGAAGTAATCAGCTGCTCTACTCAGATATCCTAGACGTAATTTCTTGTTAGCTAGAGAGAGTCAGAAAGAGAGAAAAATGATGAATTAATGAATATAATTTCTAGTAAAACCAGGCTTTTAGGATGACCGTGGTTAAAAAAAACATATTGACTGGGAAACATTAATCAGAAAGTAAAGTATTATATTACAGAGAAAGAATAAAAAGCATCAAACTTATCTAGTAGCAATATAAGATGTTAAGCTACTTGTCAGCAGCTGAACAGTTCAGTCAAGGCAGAGGTAAAGAGAAGCAAAACAAGTAAAGAATATGGGCAGAATTATTTAAAAAGTTTTAATTATTTAAACCACAAAAATATGAGCAGCCAAGAATATTGTAGGAAATTAACCAGAGTCAAATATTCATTATACCTTCATGCTCTGACATGGAAGTCTGGCCTTACAGGTAATGGGAGAATGGGCAATGGCATTATAATAAGGGCAGAGTTAAGAAAGAAAAACAAAGTCAATTAGAGAAACTTTAATCATATTTAAATGAACTAAATTTCAATAAGAGGTATAGCTACATGTGTGGTCCAGCTGGTTTGACCTTAGAGGATGGTCCAGAGAAGAGTTTGGTAGAAATTGTGTTTCAGAAAATGATGTTATAACGGGGATGAGTGCCATTTCAGTACGAAATAGCTTCTAGTTTCTATTGACCTGTTGTTTTATTTCGCCTTCCTATTGTAGTGAAGTTAATGCAGATATTAAATCATGTATTCACATATCCACATTATCTCTTCCACTCTTCTCATTTGGCAGGGATCTGGAAGGGATCGTGGACTGAAGAAATGTGGAAGCTCACTCCCTAGATATGAGCCTGGTCCTGAGGAATCTAGGAAGCAAATCCATTGCTTAGAGATTCTCCCAGCCCTTAAGATTACCCTAGTTGAGCTCATTCAGGAATGGACTATATCAAGGGATCAGAGAAGAGACAAAAGCATGTCTAAGATTTTCATTTAAGGTTATTCAGAGAAACAAGACTGCATTAGTTTGTTCTCATGCTGCCAATAAAAACATACCTGAGACTGGGTAATTTATAAAGGAAAGAGGTTTAATGGCCTCATGGTTCCACATGGCTGGGGAGGCCTCAGATTCGTAGTGGAAGAGCAAGGGACGTCTTTGAGACGTACAAGGAGAGCTTGTACATGGGATCTCCCCTTTATAAAACCATCAGATCTCATGAGACTTAATCACTATCAGGAAAACAGCACAGGAAATACCTGCCCCCATGACCCAATTACCTCCCACCAGACTCTTCTTATGACACATGGGAATTGTGGGAGCTACATTCAAGATGATATTTGAGTGGGGACACAGCCACACCATATCAAAGACCAATAGGGTGTGTGTGTGTGTGTATATGTGTATACACACACACACCCCTACATATATATATATATATATATATATATAGAGAGAGAGAGAGAGAGAGAGAGAGAGAGAGAAAGGGAGAGAGAGAGAGATTTACCTTAAAGCATTGGTTCATGTGATTGTAGAGGCTTGGTGAGTCTAAAATTTGATAGGAAGGTGGGCAAACAGGAGACTCAGGGAAGAGCTGCAATTCAAGTCTGAAAGCAGCATGCTGGCAGAATTCCCTCTTGCTCACGGGAGGTCTGTATTTGTTCTATTTGGGCTTTCAACTGATTGGATGAAGCCCACCCACATTAGTGAGGGCAATTGTCTCTAATCGTGTTCATCAATTTAAATGTTTATCTCATCCATAAGTACACCTTCACAGACACATCCAAAATAATAATGGACCAAATATCTAGGCACCATAACCCAGCCAAGTTGACACAAAATTAATCATCACACTGCCTATAGTAACTAAGGATGTTTTCAGTAGAACTAGATAGAAAGGGTAAAAATACAACTTCCTTGAGGACCATCAAGTGGAAAAAGTAGTTTATATAAGGAGAAATACGACCAAGTCTCAAACTTTGTTACATTCCAGAATTGCAATACGTATGTGTTATAGAGTCACAGTTTGTTTTTATAAGCATATGTGGAGACATATATTGCCTATTTACTAATGGACTAATTGGGGTCCATTCAAAATTTTTGAAGTATTTTTCCAAGCAGTGTTTTTTAGAATAGTAACATCATTTCTTAAATTCTATAACCATGACAATTCAAATAAAAATTTGGCTACTATAAAATATGACAAATAAATTAAGATCTATCCTTGTTAACCCTTTTCCCAAGTAATTTCAGGGAAAATTATATTTCGTTTATCAGTAAAGTACTTCTCAATTATTCTGATATTCGTTTTACTAGTTTGAATTTTTAAGTATCTAACCATTGCATTTCTCTACAAAAAATTCTGAGATATCACTAGCTGAAAGCTCTGTTTCTCTTTTTAGATTTCTCTAGGCATTTAGAAAATATTTAATGAATATTTATTTATTGAACACATCTTCTCTACAGTCACTTACATGATCATCATATCTGTGGGGAAAAGAAAGAGAGATCATACTGTTACTGTGTCTATGTAGAAAGAAGTAGACATAAGAGACTCCATTTTTTTCTGTACTAAGAAAAATTCTTCTCCTTGAGATGCTGTCAATCTGCAACCCTACCCCGAACCCTGTGCTCACAGAAAACATGTGCTGTGTCGACTCAAGGTTTAATGGATTTAGGGCTATGCAGGATGTGCTTTGTTAAACCAATGCTTGAAGGCAGCATGCTTGTTAAAAGTCATCACCACTCCCTAATCTCAAGTACCCAGGGACACAAAACACTGCAGAAGTCCGCAGGGACCTCTGCCTAGGAAAGCCAGGTATTGTCCAAGGTTTCTCCCGATGTGATAGTCTGAAATATGGCCTCATGGGAAGGGAAAGACCTGACCGTCCCCCAGCCCGACACCTGTAAAGGGTCTGTGCTGAGGAGGATTAGTAAAACAGGAAGGCCTCTTTGCAGTTGATAAGAGGAAAGCATCTGTCTCCTGCTCATCCCTGGCCAATGGAATGTCTCGGTGTAAAACCCAATTGTATATTCCATCTACTGAGATAGGAGAAAACCACCTTAGGGCTGGAGGTGAGACATGCTGGTGGCAATACTGCTCTTTAAGGCATTGAGATGTTTATGTATATGCACATGAAAAGCACAGCACTTTTTTCTTTACCTTGTTTATGATGCAGAGGCACTTGTTCACATGTTTTCCTGCTGACCCTCTCTCCACTATTACCCTATTGTCCTGCCACATTCCCCTCTCTGAGATGGTAGAGCTAATGATCAATAAATACTGAGGGAACTCAGAGACCGGTGCCGGCGCTGGTCCTCCGTAAGCTGAGCTCCAGTCCCCTGGGCCCGCTTTTCTTTCTGTATACTTTGTCTGTGTCTCTTTCTTTTCCCCACAATATCTATTTTATACACATCAATGGGTTATTAGTAACAACACGAACTGCCACATCCTGTTATAAGCTTGATATTAGCAGACCAAATTATCTAAGTTTAGTTTTACCATGCCCTGAAGACAAAGTAGGTGTTAAACTTTCAGAATTTATCAGAAGGGAGAGTTTGTAAATGAAAGCTTTTGTCATAAGGCAATTTTTGTTCTTTCATTAAAATTTGGCACAGGATACCTTAGCTAGAGAATGATGTAATTCATTGTCAGTTCTGGGTGGCCACAATAGCTATAAGGAAAGGAGTGCCCTAGATTAGTCAGAGCTTTGTACAGTGGCGTGGAGAAGTATACATAGGGACTACCAAGAACAGTAGTAACCCCACTTAGAAGTTACTGTGAAGTCATATTGCCATGTGCATTTATATTGTATTTGCAGTATGAAAATTATTTTATATAAATTCCATTTTAATTGCATCTGTAAGGAATTTATTTCACAAGATAGATGAAGCCTGATTTCTCCTTTTATAATAAATAAAATATAGAGTCAGGGTAATTAAGTGATTTGCTCACAAGTGAGAAGCCAAAGAGTGAAGTCTCTAACCCAGGTTTTCTGACTCTCAGTCTAGTATTCTTTGTACAAAAGATTATAGAATTCTTTGATCTGACAGACATTATTGGACACCTAATATATTCCAGAACACCTGGGGTGGTTAATGAAGCTGCTGTAGCCCTTGCCCAAAAGGATATTTCATTCCAGCCTCTCATGAGTAATTTTCAGACCACTGTCAATACTAATGGATATATATTATTTATGTTAAATATTTTAGCCATGGTCTGTAGAAGTCAAGATTTATTTCTAGATTTGGTCTTCTTTTTTACTTATATTTTTCAATTGCCTTATTTGTAATATGGATGAAATTTCTTACATTTCTTAATAATATCTTAGAACATTCCAAGTGTGCAGTACTATGTAATTCTTCTCACTGAGATGTGCTACAGTTTCTCTTGTAGATTCTATCTCTCTTGATGATGGTCGATGTCTCAAACCTCATTATTATTTAGGGTACGGTCAAAATTACAAAAATTTATGTATTTATTTCTGCTTAATTTGTTTTTGTTTGTTTGTTTGTTTTCTTTTTTGAGGCAGAGTCTTGCTCTGTTGCCCAGATTGGAGTGCAATGGCCCGGTCTTGGCTCACTGCAACCTCCGCCTCCTGGGTTCAAGCAATTCTCCTCCCTCCGCCTCCCAAGTAGCTGGGATTATAGGCATGCACCACCACGCCCAGCTAATTTTCTTTTTTTTTTTTTTTTTTTTTTTTTGTATTTTTATTAGAAATGGGGTTTTGCCTTGTTGGCCAGGCCGGTCTCAAACTCCTGACCTCAGGTGATCTGCCCGCCTTGGCCTCCCAAAGTGCTGGGATTACAAGAAATTTGTTTCTTATATTGGTTCTTTGCTTTACCAATTTTACATGTTTACTTTTTTTTATGCTACTCCGTCTTTGATCCTGGAAGATAAGACCTCCCTTTCCTGTGGCACCTGATGCTTGTGTCAACTTGGGACACTCATGCACTTCTTCCCTTCTGTGCTGCAGGAGAAGCTTTTCACTGGTCTCTCCTTCCTCACTTTCAGCCACTGGTACCCCACCTCTCAAAATATTATAGAATTTGTGCAGTAACTGTAAGTCATAGCACACAATAACTACTCCTGAAATATCATGTTTATCTCCTTCTTCCATTCTAACTACTTCTAAGGAGTTCTGTTTTATGGGCTTCAGTAATAACTGGCATCATCTGATTTTTATGTCCCAATTATCCTGCTCATTTCTGGTCTGCATGGTGGTCAGAGCCATGTAATCTGCCTCTGTGATTTAGGATAGAATGAGTTTTATGTGAAATCTAGACAGGAATTATTTCCCTGCTAGACAACAAAAATATTTTTTTGTTATTGGTGGTGGTGGTTTTGGTTTACAAAAGGATCACCTTTCTATGCACTTGTGGATAAAGGGAGGATATAATTACATAATGGGCAAAAACAAAAACATATTTAAATCTCTGTTATCAAAGGAGAAAAATTCCCTTTACAACATTTTAAAACTTGACCTTTTCCTAGTCTGTGCTTATATAACTCCAATAATAAATGGTGGAGGCGGAACTGTATCACAGAAATAGTGAAATCATTCTTAATTTCAAGGAATATAACAGGCTTCGGTTTTTCTGGTGTATAGAGCTAAGGTAAGATATAATTATATAAACATGTCTTTGCTTACTACTCACTAGATTAACATAGTCTGTGATGTATCTAACAATTTGTCTATTCCAATAATTTAGTATCAGCATTAAACATTTGTCATATCCAAATGAAAAACAAACATGAGAACCATCTGTCTCAATAATTAGAATAATACCAAGTGCTTTATTCAGTGTACCCCTACACACCAGGTAACAAGTATATACTTTTGAGGGACTAGCCAGGAAAGACATTAAACAGAAAAAGAAGGTGAAGGTAAACTCCTTACCTGCAAGGCTTCAGATAATTGTGACCAGAGACTAATGTCATAATGGAATCTAGAAAATAGAGACAAAACAGGCTGTGAACAGTTTCCGTTTTCATAACATCTGAAGGAGGCCAGCATTTACTTTTCTTTCCTAAGAATAAGCTTACTAGAACTACTTGAGTAGCTTTATTTATGTATTTATTGTATTATCAAAATACAACTGTCCCTCCCCATCCTGGAAATTCTGATCCATAAATACAAGTGTGGATAGAACATGTGTAGGTTAATCACACTGCTGCACAGGTGTTTCTGATAACCGGAACCTTCCCTCACACTCCTCCCTCCCAGCCCCGGCTCTCAAATCGCTGTCATGGAATAATATCAAAGGTTCCTTTCTACTCTAATACAGAGTAAGTAGCTCTGTGTAGTGACGTTTTCTTACAGTATATTCTAGTTATTTGTTTATTTATTTATTTATTTTTTAGATTTTAAAAGGAAGTATTTATTGGCCTGTTACGTACCAAGGTCTAGGTTTAGGCACATTTTCAGAGGGAAACAAATCCTCCGTAGAGTTTTCCTCCACAGAGTTTCATATCTAATGGGCTCTTAACAAGCAACGTTTCTATATTTGTAATGGACTCTTCTGGAGAAGATAAGGAGTACTTTTTTTTTTCCTGCAGAGTTGACAATAAAAGTGGAAAGTGGAAAGTAAAGTTCTCCTGAGTATCTTAGCATATATTTAACCAAGCCGGCTATACAGAAATAAAAAGTATAAGGTATAAGAAATACTTTACGGCCAACCCCCCTTTTTTTTTTGTTTCTAGCCTTCATTTTATCCACACTAATCACTCTACTCCTTAATTTTAAGGTACTTCTAATGATGCATGAAATCCCAGCATTTCTTTTCTGAGCAATGTCCCACTCTCCATATAATCTCACATCCATTTCCTCTATCAAATATACACAGTTTGGGGGCATTTTATGAAACTGAAGAATTATTGACAGTTTTATTATTGCAGGTCAAATGGTGTTCTAGTTATGGTTTTAGTTTTGTTATTTAGGAGAGTCATCAGATTTTAAATATAACATTTAATATTTATGCATGAAATAACATGGTGTTTAGGACTTAATTTAAAAGAAATTATTGGGCAGGGGAAACATGGACTGAGATTATGGGTGAAATAATACTGTCTGAGTTGATAACTGTTAAAACTAGGTGAAGGGAACATGGGATCCCACTATATTATTCATGTTTGTTGTTGTTGTTTTAAACATTTATATTTTAGAGCAGTGTTAAGTTCACAGCGAAGTTGAAAGGAAGGTACAGATATTTCCCAAAACCCCCTGCCACCCGCCCCACATACATTATCAACATTCCCCACCAGCATGATACATTTGTTACAGTTGATGAACCTACACTGACAGCTCATTATCACCCAAAACCCACAGTTTACATTAGGGCTCTCTCTTGGAGATATGCATTCTATGGGTTTGGACAAATGTACAGTGACACATATCTATAATTACTGTATCACACAGAGCATTTTCACTACCCTAAAAATCTTCTGCGCTCCACCTGTTCATCTCTTTCTCTCAGCTAAACTCCTGGACAACCACTGATTTTTTTTTTTGTCTCCATAGTTTTGTCTTTTCCAAAATGTTGTGTAGTTGTAATCATATAGTATATAGCCTTTATAGATCAGTTTCTTTCACTTTAGTAATATGTATTTAAGCTTCCTACATGTCTTTTTGTAGCTTTATGGTTTATTTCTGTTTAATGCTGAATAATATTCTATTACCTGGATATACCACAATTTGTTTACTAATTAACCTACAGAAGGACAGCTTAGTTGATTCTAAGTTTTGGCAATTATCAATAAAGCTGCTATAAACACCTGTGTGCAGGTTTTGTGTAGACATAAGTTTTCAACTCTTTTGAATAGTTATCAAGTAGAATGATTGTTAGATCTTATAGTAATAGGGTGTGTAGTTTGGTAGAAAACTGCAAAATTGTCTTCCAAAGTGGCTGTACCACTTTGCATTTCCACCAGCAA
The DNA here is from genome assembly GCF_000001405.40 of Homo sapiens. Lineage (NCBI taxonomy): Eukaryota > Metazoa > Chordata > Mammalia > Primates > Hominidae > Homo > Homo sapiens. Next base: position 105,270,296 of record NC_000011.10, read on the forward strand.
TGACTGAGAGTTGCTGTTGCTCCACATCCTTGTCAGTATTTGGTGTTGTCAGAGTTCTATATTTTGGCCATTCTAATAGGTTTGTAGTAGTATCTCGTTGTTATTTTAATTTGCATTTCTATGATGACATATGGTCTGGACCATCTTTCCATATGGTTATTTGCCATTTATATATCTTTTTTGATGAGATGGAGTTTTAAGAGTTATTTGTATGTTTTGAATAATAGTCCTTTATCATACAGGTCTTTTGCAAATATTTTCTCCCAGTGTGTTGCTAGTATCTTCATCCTCTTGACTATATATACATATATATAATATAAATATATATAGATATATTTTTTAACAGAGTCTTGCTCCATCGCCCAGGCTGGGGTGCAGCAGTGCCATCTCAGCTCACTGCAACCTCTACCTCCCAGGTTCAAGTGATTCTCCTGCCTCAGCCTCCTAAGTAGCTGGGATTACAAACACGTGACACCAAGCCAAGCTAATTTTTGTATTTTTAGTAGAGACAGGGTTTCACCATTTTGGCCAGGCTGGTCTCGAACTCCTGACCTCAAGTGAGCCACCTACCTCGGCCTCCCAAAGTGCTGGGATAACCGGTGTGAGCCACCGCATCCAGCCAGAAGTTTTTCATTTCAATAATGTTCAGCCTATAAGTTATTTCTATCATAGATTGTGCTTTTTACATTGTATCTAAAAAGTTATCATGCTACCCAACGTCATCTAATTTTTCTGCTCTGGTGATCTTCCAAGAGTTTTATAGTTTTGCATTTTACATTTAGGTCTATAATCCATTTTAAGTTAATTTTTGTGAAGCATATAACGTATGAGTCTATTTTGGGTTTTTTGCATGTAGATGCCTAGTTGTTTTGCCACCATTTGTTTAAAAGACAATCTTTGCTCCATTGTCTTGCCTTTGCTCCTTAGTAAAAACTCAGTTGAATATACCTATTTGGATCTCTTTCTGGGCTCTTTATTCTGTTCCATCAATCTACTTACCTGTTCATCCCTCAATACCACACTGTCTCAATTACTGTAGCTTTGTAGTAAATCTTGAAATCAGATAGTGTCAATCCTCCAATTTTGTTTTTCTTCATCACTGTGTGGCCTATTCTGGGTCTTTTGCCTCTGCATATAAACCTTAGAATTAGTTTTTCAATACCCACAAAACAACTTCCTGAGATATTGATTGGGATTGCATTGATTCTATTGACGAAGTTAGAAAGATCTGCCCTCTTAAACATATTGTCTTCCACTCCATGAACATGAAATATCTCATTTATTTATTTATATTATTTAATTGACAAATCATAATTGTATACATTTATTTTATTCTCCTTTGATTTCTTTCATGAGAGTTTTGTAGGTTTCCTCATCTAGATCATGTACATATTTCGTTAGATTTATACCTATGTGTTATATTTTTGGGGAATGCTAATATAAATTGCATTCTGCTTTTGATTTCAAATTTTACTTGTTTATTGCTGATATATAAGAAAATGATTGACTTTTGTATATTAACCTTATATCCTGCAAACTTGCTGCAATCCTTTATTAGTTCTGGGAGACTTTTGCTGTTTTTGTTGTCATCGTTGATTCTTTGAGATTTCCTGTATATGTGAACATATACTTGATAAACAAATATAGTTTTATTTTTTTCTTTCCGAGGAAGCTTTCATTTTTTTAAGTTTTATTCTGTTTTCTTGTCTTATTGCATTATAAATGAGTGTTGAACTTTGTCAAATGCTTGCTACCTCTATTGATATGATCATGTAATTTTTCCTTTTTAGCCTGTTGATGTGATGGACTACACTAAAACTATTCTATTTGTTTATATGTTTGAAATTTCCAATGACAAAAAGTCAACAAAATGTTTTCTGTTGTATTCTCTATTTAAATTTTATCAACAAGTGTGATGTTTAATTTTATGTGTCAACTTGGCTAGGCTATAGTACCCAGTTGTTCAGTTTTATACTAATCTAGGTGTTGTTATGAAGGCATTGATGGATATACTTAACATTTACAATCAGCTGATTTTTAAGTAAAGGAGATTACTCTTGATAATGTGGATAGACTTATCCAATCAACTGATAACCCTTAAGAGTGAAACTTGAGATTTCCCCAAAAGAAAGAAATTTGGTCTCAAGCTTGCAACATCATCTCCAGCCTGTGTGTTTCAGCCTATGGGTCTAACCTGCAAATCTCTGACTTGCTAGTCCCCACAACTGGGTGAGTCAGTTCTTTCAAATAAATCTATACATGTATATTTATGTATGTATATCCTTAAAGAATGAATTTATCATGGTAGAAACTTGAGGTCAGTGACAGATTTTCAGACAGAACACTGTGTCTGAAAATAGCGCTGTGCCCTTCAACCCACTTGCCAAAGACGTATGTCTACGTCATAAGGTAAAACTTGTTCTGATGTTGTTAAATGATACACTTAAATTATGATAAAGACAATTTAATATGTTACACTATTAGAGTACTTCTAATTTTTATACAAAGTATATAAAGTTGCTATCTATGACCCTATATATAACTGGATCACTAAAACACCTAATTACATCATTTTTTGGTATTTTCAAAGCTCAACAGATAAAAAAATCACAATATTAACAACGCTGTTTCATTGCCTGAGATCTTCTCCAATACACTTAGAGAACTTCGGTGCACTGGAGAACCTAAGTCTCAAAGGCAAGTAGTGACAATACAAGATATCGGCAAATGAGGGCACTAATTTTCAAAGAGGCTAAATGTTTGCCAGCAATACATAGCAGAAATGTTATATTACTGCCATATTCTTAAATTGCTGTACATACTAAAATTACTTTGGGGAGAATTTTCCAAGTATGTAATCCTAACTCACCCTGTACAAACTAACCAAATCAGAGAGGAATCCAAGCTGGTATGCTATAAAAATGTTTCCTAAGTCATCCTTTGGGTAATCTGTTTAAGAGCTTCTACATTACCTACAGATATTCCAAACCACAGGCCAGTGTTATTTTCTGCTGTCTCTTTCCACTTATAGATGGAAGCATCTGAGAAGCATTCATAGTGAGCCAAATGACTTAGAGGAGGGATTTCTTATTTTTCTTATCAATCATTATGGAACCGAAGTGTCTGCCTCTGTGCATTTAATAAAGTTACTGCATGCAAAATTAATAAGATATTTACCTTAGAAGCAAAATTATATCAAGTTATATATTTGTTCTGGTAACATGCAATTATCCATTATTTTGATTAAAATGTTCATTTTCTTTAGATCACATACATGCATCATATGAGTTGGAATGTATGTTACATATTCTGGGGACATTTCAGATGAATATATGGAGATGAACTGCAATAGGAACATCTACATATACATGTGGACACTGACACCTTAAATAATTTCCATGGTGACTCCAGAGAGAATATAAAAGCCCCTTCTGTTTCACTGTTCTCTTTTTCTCACCCTTCTGCTGTATGGCTCCTGATTTAAACAATAACAGATAACAAGATTAATAAAGCACAGGCTTTTTAATGAAATCATGTTTGGTATCAAGCCCTTTAACTTTCTAATCTGTTTTCAGCAGCTGTAAGTGCTGCACAGTCACTTTCAGCATCTCTCCAGAGAGCACAGAAAGACATTTCTTCTATCTTTGATCTGTTTCTTGTCACTGGAAATTATCTGCAAGAAATGCTCCAACAGAATTTTTTTCTGCTAGTGTTATTATGGTACCAAGAAATAAAGTTGTTTCAGGTCCTTTGTTTAAAATCAGCACTTGCTTTGGATACTGCATGCTCAGCACTTAAGCAGCATCCAGTGAAGCAAAGCCATTGCTAAGTATAAATAATAATCCCAGAGAGCTTGTCTACGTCCTTTAGGCTCTTATATTTAAGACAGCACTACCATGGATAAATAGGGGCAGAAAGACACATCATTGAAATAGTAAGTGACTAATTGATGAGAAAGGTTTTCACCTAGTACACAGTTTAAAGTTAAGTGGTTTTTAAAAATGGGGTAAACTCAGCTGATTGGGTTACCCTGGAGAAGAGCAAGCCATTATTGCATTTATGTCACCCTGGTGATAGCCAAGTCACATTGATAGAAGCCTATGTTTATTCTGTATATTTCTGACAGATATTTTCTCTTCAGATGAGTAGTCACACCACATTCAGGTGTCACTTTCCTTCTTTCTTCCAAATTCTCCTGTGTCCTCAAGACAACCAATGCAATGGTCTCATCAGGATGGTCAGACCTTTCCCCTATTATTTGGGGCTTGCCCCTGCAAAAGTCGCATTACCCCTGAAATTCCATTTGTGACACAGTCTTCTCAGGTGCAGAGAAAACTTACATTTCCTATGGGAATAAAGTTGGCACTATGCACTTAACTTTAGTCAAGCTGTAAGTAAATGATCAGAATGAATTGTTAATCTTATAAAATCAGTAATTTACTGGGCATTCTCTTACTGTTTCAATTCAGTTTCCCTGCTGATTCATTCACAGTTTTGATGGCTAGAAGTCCAAGATCAGAGTGCTCTCATGGCTGGATTATGCTAGATGCCTCATGGTTTACAAATGACTGTCTATTGTTTTCTTACATGGCAGAGAGATAAACAGAGGAGCTTTCATCATCTTCTATGAAGGACAACAATCTTATTAAGGAGGCTCCAAACTCAGAATCTAATTACCTCCCAAGACCCCACTTCCTAACACCATCTCACTGGGGGCTAAGGTATCAATATATGAGCTTGGGTGGGACATAAATATTTAGTTCATAGCAGCTCAGAACTGCTGAAGATAGAAGTGTGTATTAAACAGTTTCTGCCTTCAAGGGGCTTTGAGCATGTTAAAGATATAAATAAAATAACTCGGCCGGGCGCAGTGGCTCACGCCTGTAATCCCAGAACTTTGGGAGGCTGAGGCAGGCGGATCATGAGGCCAGGAGATCGAGACCATCCTGGCTAACATGGTTAAACCCTGTCTCTACTAAAAATACAAAAAAAATTAGCCGGGCGTGGTTGTGGGCCCTTGTAGTCCCAGCTACTCAGGAGGCTGAGGCAGGAGAATGGCGTGAACCTGGGAGGCAGAGCTTGCAGTGAGCGGAGATTGCACCACTGCACTCCAGCCTGGGCGAAACAGCCAGACTCTGTCTCCAAAAAAAAAAAAAAAAAAAAAAAGCAACTCAATAGCAAAGGCCCACTACTATTCAAAATCAGTATTCTACGGAGCTGAATGATGTGGAAGATGGAAGAAAGAACACATCACATTGTATTCTGTATTTACATGCCAGTGATTTACATATATTAGTATTTATTACTCTCTTTTAATAATAGTGGAAATAAATTTCCATACTTTATAAGGAAGAAAACCAAGGCTCAGAACACTGAATAACTTAATGGTTGAGATTGGAATTCAGGTTTCTGATTCTTTTTTCTAGAATTCGTGAAGAAATTGGAATTCGAGATGAAAGAAGAATAATAAGAAGAAAATGATTTGAACTCACAGACAGCAGTAGTAAGGATAATTTTAACCAGTGACAAGGGAGGAGAAGAAATACAGGGAAAAAATGCACATGGTATTTTTAAGGGAATAGTGAATAAATCACCCTCTTTGAAACAGTGGTGTCTTGTTGGTTCTAACAGCAAAACATAAACATTTGCTATTATTTGCCCAGAGTTTTAACATTTGCAGAATAATTTTACACATATTATTTTGTTTCAGGTTTATGATAACCCTGTGAGTTAAGTAGAGAAGATATTTTTATTAATATTCTCCCTATCATAGATGAAAAACCTGAGGCCGAAATTCGACCATGGGAACAAGATCCTAAAATTAATAATGGACTAGGACAAATGCTGAATATGGCTCTATAGTATACACATTTTCCAAATTACTTTTGAAATATCCTTGTATCATGGGGTTTAAACAGAAATTCAAACTTCAGTCAAAGAAATCACAAAGATGAAGTTGTCACTGAGTAAGTGGTACAGTAACGTGATCTTGGAGACCCCCCACTAAAATGTAATGATTCTGTCAATTACAGTTGACCCTTGACCAATGTGAGGGTTAGGGTCATTGATGCCCCCAACACAGTCAAAAATCCATGTATAATTTTTGACTACCCCAGAACTTAACCACTAGCAGCCTACTGTTGTCTAGAAGCCTTGCTGATAACATAGTCGATTAACACATATTTTGTATTTTATATGTATTATATACTGTATTATTACAATAAAGTAAGCTAGAGAAAAGAAAATGTTACTACCAAAATCACAGAGGAAGAGCAAGTATATTTTCTTTATTAAGTGGAATTGGATCATCACAAAGCTCTTTATCCTTTTTGTCTTCACACTGAGTAGGCTGAAGAGAAGGAGGAAGAGGGGGATTGGTCTTGCTGTGAGGTGGCAGGGGTAGAAAAGTTGGATGAAATGGAAGTTGAGAGCCAGGCACATTTGGTGTAGCTTTTATTGAAAAAAAATATTGCATGTAAGTGGACGCAAGCATTTCAAACCCTTGTTGTCTGAGGATCAACCGCACTAAAGAAAACTGTTCATGTCATCAAAACTATTCAATAACTTAGCCCATACTTTTCTCTTTGTTTGTGTGTGTATTTTTCACACCAAGCATAGTGCCTAATACCTAAAAGTCATGTGGAAAATAACAGTGGTGCTATTGAACCACCAGTGTTGGATGTAATTAATGTAATTATTACCATTTTGTGTTGAAGGTACCATGGCTTTCAGAAATGAGGTGTTTTTCTCAGACCTGGTAAGTAGTATAGCTATTAGGATCCAGATTTGAATAAAGATCTGACTAAATGCAAAAACCTTGGTTTGTTTCTGTTGTGAAATTATTATAAAATGAATTGGTGCCAGATGATGAACTCATACATGAGAATTTGAACAGTCTAATTTCTAGCCAGCACCAGGAATCACCAAATCTCTTTGGTCTTTGTTGCTGTTGCTGCCATCAGTCCTTTTGGTCATGTGGGACTCTTGAAACTGTGCTCTCCGTAAAGAGATAGATGCTGCTTATCCTTTCTGATGGTCTAGTCCTGCTGGCCCAATTCCCCAGCCAGAACTCTGCAAGCTTTTGAGGCAAGATGATTCTACTGCCTATGAGCTAAGCCAAGTCAAGGGGACTTTGTCTGGAATAACGGGTTAGTAGAACTCAGTGCTCAGCTCTGTCAAATCCAGAGACACCTACAGATACCAGCTACCCTAGAAGTTGTTCTGGCACCTGCCATTTGTAGACCTGCAGTCTATATATTATTTCTCTTCAGGGATTCACATGACCATAATTAATGCTGATTTTTGTGTGGGTTTCTTTAATCTCTCAAAAATGTTAATTGTACCCACTTTCTCAGTGAATCATGGTGGAATGGTGTCCAAATACCTGTGCCTTAGCTGTGTTGGCTTTATTAAACCTCTTAAGTCCTCACTAACTCAGCCCTTTCCAGTCCTTTCTTGGGGAGTTACTTTTTGTGGCTTAAGGGTGATGTCAAAGAATTAGACAATCAACTTCATAAACTACTTATTGGGCTCAGAGTGGGAAAGATAAAATGTTGGGGTGGGGGTTTAGGGATAAAACAAAAGTACAATTTTTTCTGGAGCATCAGCTTCACTATCCCCCAAAGAAGTTTCTTACCCTCCCCTTCACTAGTTATCTCCAGAAAGTGGGGGAAATAGGCAGTCTTCCAGGCAGGTATACCAGAACTGTCCAGGACTGGGTTCTCCAGAAAAATAGCTTGTATGTATTGAAACAGTGTATCGCTGTATAGATGTCTTTTTCTCAACAGTCTTCAAAGGCAATGGAAGCAGGGCAGCATTTTGAATGAATTTCAGACTATGAACTTAATTCACCACACGGGCATATATATATATATACATATATATATATACACACACATATATATATACATATATATACATATATACACAGACATACATATATACACATATATATATATGGACACATTGTAAGCTTCTTAAGGGCAAAAATCAAGTTATATGAATCACTCTTATCAATAATGCTGAACCCATATCCTAGTGCATAGTTTATCCATAACAGATGTTTGCCAAAAAATGTTGCTTAATAATTAGATAAATATTCAGCACACATAAAAATGTTTATTTTTTTCTGAACTGCAAATGATTTCTGGAACATTTCAGAGATCACATTGATCCACTCTTAAAAGCATTCCTATTGTTTGCTATATAATTTGTACCTTCATATCTAAGAGAATATTATCTGAAATATAACCAAAAATTTCCACAGAAAGAACCCTATTATTAAATAGATGCTCAAATTCAAGAATATCCAAAATATGCAAGTTACAGACAACTTTAAATTGTAAAATAATTTAGATTCATTTGCAATTCAACAATAATTAAGTTAATAAGACTTGTATTACGAATATTATTAACTTCAAATAACTCTATATAGGCACAAGTCATCAGATTATTTACAGGACTTCAGTTCATTTGTGATATATAGACTTTTGAGGCAATACTACTATTTTAGAGAATGCTATTCTGTGTAAAGTAATATTTAAAATACCATCTAGGTTCCACATATTAAAATACATTTTGATGGCCCAAGTAGTGCATGGTGACCTTCAGAAAATAAACTCTGTGTCTCAGATTTGTGTACTAATAAATAAAGATCAAGTAACAACCTCAGGGTATTTCTAAGAAGTACATCATGTTACATACAATACAGGCTTAGGTCCACGACTGATATACATTAAACTTGCAGTAAGTTAACATTTGTCATCATTGTTTTTTATAAAGTATTCTGCTTTTATATTCAGGATTTCAAAATTTCAATTATTTCTAAACACCTGGAAATCTATGTTGGTTTATTTTATTAGTAAATTTCCTGTTTTCCTTTTCCTCTACCTCTCCAGTATTCAATAAGGATATCATTAACCATTAGTCCAGGTTATTATGTTTTTCCAAGAAGCATATGGCAATGATTTTACCTACAGGGGAAAGGTAAAGAAATTGAAGACGGTAAGAATAGTCACCTGCTGCTACTTGAAAAAATGTTAAGAATTAATACAACTTTGCAGGCTGATAGAAGTTTTTAGGCCCATTAGGTTTGATAATTACTAGCAAAACTCTTTTAAAAATATGTAAATTGTAAGTCCTTCTCTGCCTTCATTATCACGATGTTATTCAGTCGCCCTCAAATAGTCATCCTATAGTACTTAATATAGAGAACAACACATTGTGGAAATAATTCATGAGGAGACTGAGATTTTTGGCAACTATTTCTTCCCTTGACCTTGATCAAATTGTTTCCCCAAGTAAAAACCTAAAGATAACTATAACTGCCAGCCAGCTTTGGGGTGTTCTAAGGTTTAGAGGGCCTTACAAATTCCTTGAGTAACCGTAGGAACAATGATACACGCAAAGGTAAGTTATTATTGAATGTTCTGTATCATTGAAACTTTCTACTCCCCTTCTCCTAACCTGAATATATGCAGTAGAGCTGAACAAAGAGAGGAGATATTTGGAGGGGAGAGAAGGTGGAACAGCAGCAAAGAGTACAGTGTTTTCATATTTAGCATACACAACTGGTTTGTGTAGCAAGGAAAGAAATCACAAGTAGATATAAGTCATCCCACAAAGTATACAACAATAGCAAACATGAACGTGAATTCAGTATGTTGGCTTAAAATTAGTTCATATAAATCATGCATTTCCAAATAATTGCCTTCAAATTGCTTGTTTTAACTCACAGTAATTATACTCTATGCACACTTTTTTCTACTTTACTTAAAACAAATGAGCCATTTCAAGCCTCAATGGCTTTCTTTTGAACCACAGTAAATACTGTAGTGCATGAATTATTATATTTGTGATAAATATGTGTTGTCTTTGTATTACGTTCTAACTACATAATTTAGCAATTCTTTAGTTCTTTACTTCTTTAATCTCACTGTGTATATACTTTTTTATATATATGCGTTAGAAATGTACTGATACAGATTTATGTATAAATAAGTGATATTAATTTTTAATTTACTGACAATTTTTCTCACATAAAACAATATATTCACTTTTGTTAGGATTTTTTGTTGTTTTGTTTCTTTGATTTTTTTTAATTTTGGTAAATCCCTCATGTTTCTAACTTTCTAATCTTTTTGGTAAATATTTATAATACATATGGTGTGTGTATGTGTGTGTGTATCATTCATATATATATGTACAGATATATGGACATTATACATACACATTAATGGAATAAATATGAATTTAATTTTACATGAGAATTTTTAAATATGTCTTAAAATAACACTATAAGGCAATCAAAAATTAGGGTGAGGGCCGGGTGTGGTGACTCACGCCTGTAATCCCAGCACTTTGAGAGGCCGAGGTGGGCAGATCACGTGAGGATGGGAGTTCGAGACCAGCCTGAACAACATGGAGAAACCCCATCTCTACTAAAAATATAAAATTAGCCGGGCATGGTGCCACATGCCTGTAATCCCAGCTACTCGGGAGGCTGAGGCAGGAGAATTGCTTAAACCCAGGAGGCAGAAGTTGCAGTGAGCCATGATCGCTCCACTGCACTCCAGCCTGGGCAACAAGAGGGAAACTGTCTCAAAATAAATAATAATAATAAAAATAAATAAATAAATAAATAAATACATAGTGTCAGAATTACTTTTATAAAAATGAAAATGTAAAGCAAATTGTCTTAGTCCATTTTCACGCTGCTGATAAAGACATACCTGAGACTGGGGAAAAAAGAGGTTTAATTTGACTTACAGTTCCACATGACTGGGGAGGCATCAGAATCACGGTGGGAGGTGAAAGACACTTCATACATGGTGGTGGCAAGAGAAAATGAGGAAAAAGCAAAAGAGGAGCCCCCTGATAAACCCATCAGATCTCACGAGACTTATTCACTATCACTAGAACAGCACTGGAAAGAGCAGCCCCCATGATTCAATTACCTCCCCCTGGGTCCCTCCCACAACACATGGGAATTCTGGGAGATACAATTCAAGTTGAGAGTCGGGTGGGGACACAGCCAAACCATATCACAAATATACCAATAAAAGTTTGCATGCTTACTAGCCAGCATATGCATTTATTATGTCAACAGTTTTGCAATCACTACTGACTACATTTCAAAGTTTCTATTTTATGTTATTTAGAATGGATTATTATTAACGTTTTAAGATATACATTATCTAATATATATCATTTGCCTTTGATACATCAATTCTTCCTATGATTGGAGAAAAGAAAGCCAAACAATAGACTCTCAATTTGATCTGCTGGTATCAACTTCTTTTTTTCATCTTTTTAATCTTCTAAATTATATATTGTGTTAAAACACTTTTCACTTTGAAAATTATACATATTTACAATTTTATTTTTAAAAATTAATGCTGTCATTTTAAATAAGTGATTATTTTAAAATATAAGTGCAATAAAATTTAGAGTTAAGACATTGAAATATCTATCAGATTAGAGAGCCAACAAAGGAAAACCTCCAAAGAATTTCATAATGTCTTGAAGAAGTAGAAATTCTGCATAATTTGGGGACAGAATATCATAGTAGAGAGATATCTGTAGAGCCACATTAACAATACATATAGAACAGTCCATAATTTCTGAAATCTCTTGCTTTTCTTCCTAGAACAGTTACAGTGTTTGTCAAGGTACTGATATAATCAATTTATTAGATGATAGTAAATATCAAATAGCCTGAAGATATTTGAAATTCAAGCAGCATATTATTCTTTCTAGAATGTAATGACTGGTTTAGCTTGGAACTCTTCTGATTTTGCTGTTGCCTCTAGCATTTATAGAGAAGATTTTACTATTTTTAAATTTTCTTTAATTTGTTTATTTGCATATGTGGGCTGATTAATTTTCTCCTTATTATTAATATTTGTCTGCATCTGTTGTTATGTTACTGAAAACCATGTAAAATATGTCAGAAAACAGATATACTAAAAATGTGAGAAGACTTTCAGAAAATATTGAGATGATTTTGTAAACTTTGAGAAAGACAAACAAATTTATACCCTGCTTTATAGAGCAGATTTTCAAACAAAAGCACATTACATTGTTTCTAAATAAAGTTACACTCAAAATCTTCTGGGGTCTCTTCCATTTGGCAAATACTATCTATCCAAAGATTAACAAATACATAAAACTGGTAATATTCCCACACTATATAATACTTTGTAGTGAGCTATTTTGCAAATATATGCTTGAAGATGATAAGATGTCCCTATATTTTTTAACAGCCAAAGAAGATTTGTGATTATTAGAAGGGAAAAGACCCATAATTGTCATTACTAATTAATTTATCATAAAATTAATAAACTTACCTTTTGTTTTATTGAATTACTATCTTATTTACCCGACAAAATATAAGCATGGTTAAAATAATCTCTTTATTATTTAATATTTATATGTCAGTCTTTTTGAAGCCTATTTAAAGTGAGCTAACTTATCTTCTGCATGGCACCATGGAGATTCTGAAAGTGACTCAGGCTAGATTCAGGGAGAACCAGGAAAGTGGGTCAAATGGTATCTCTAGGGTTGGAAACACAATTATCTGACCTGATAAAAATGATTGCAGCTGTTGTCTCTTAATGTGTAACGTATGTTCCACAGTTCTTAGAGCAACCCTGAGTTGAAAGAGAAGTTCTAATATGAGAAATATCAAAATGTTATTTTATTTTAAGAAAAATATAAACTGTATTATTTGCCTATTCCTTGTCACCATTATAGTATCTTTTCTCTTTTCTGTCTTTTTTGGTTGTTGTTGTTGCTTAAACTTGGAAGAAATATCAGATTCCTCATGTAATGCAAAGCACTTTCACAAATTCCCCTAAATTGTGGACTTAAAGACAACAGGACTGTGCATCTTCTCCAGGATTCCAGACATTTCTCTGTGGCATTTCTCTTCAGCTCACCATGTTTTATTCCAGTTATATAAGCAAAGCAAAAATAAATTAAAGAGCAATTTTAAAAGGCTAAGGTGGCAGTACTAAGTGCTGTTTAACTTATTTTGAAGATTTTCTTTTTACACTTCAGAGATGTTATTCTATTACGGGTACAGGTAAGAAAAAAAGTGCCAACTGACTGAACCTTGCCATATTATAAAACACTGTTCAAAAAAATCTTGTTTCATTCTCTAAATAGTCTAATTCTGCTTTTTTTTTCTTTTTTTGCTTCATACTTTTAGGTAAGACCTTCATTTATTTGCTTCAAAAACTAAAATAAATTGTTGAAGTTTAAGTATTCTGATAAAAGTGACTTAATTAGTAATTATTATATTGAGTATTGAGAAGAGAGTAAGAAAGGAATTCATATTTATCCAAATGTGTGCAAATTACCTCATTTCAACATAGATTAAAATCAAATTTTTAACCAATATCTAAAAATCAGTCCCAGGAGAAGGAAGTGTCCCATTTTACTACAAATGTTGTTATAATTAAAAGTCATGTTTTTATGTATGTTAATATGAGTAAAATCTTCTCAATTTTTCTCAAAATATGACACAGTTTCATTCAAATAAAAGATTTATATCATTACTTTAAAAACCTGTAGAAATCTAAACTTCTCATTTGATGGAATGACAGGAACTGGATTTACTTTCCCACCTGAAACTATGGAAAAAAATACAGAGAAAATATATGAAAGGATGGCATTCAAAACTGCAAAAGACAACCAATGATGCACAGTGAACCTGAGACATGAGAAACAAATGAGGTAAACTCTATGATTGCCTCAGCTTACTGCACTGAAAGAGGTTCCTTGCCACCGCAGAGGGAGGAGGTGCATAACTAGAGCCAGGGAAAGTCTCTGAGTCAAAGGACATAGCTCAGAGTCACTGGAGAACAAGTTAGTTGAAGTGTGAAGGACAGAACACTGGAGAGAAGAGAAATGCACAGAAAGAACCATGAAGATCTGCAAAAGTTCTCTTGAGTATTCAACTGAGTGCTGATCATCACTTGCAAGTAAATAAAGTGTATGAAGCTAAGGGATGAATTGTCTGATGGATTACAAGGATCAGTTTCTCTTTTCTACAGAGGGGGTAAAACTGTATGTTCTCAGCCAGATTGGAAACGTTTATCATTTGTAGGACATTGGATAGATTAGTTAGAAGGACCTTGCCTCAGTAATGTGGAATAACTAGCCTTAGGGTAAATACTCATCAAGCCCTGCCAAACATATCATAAAAGCAAGATTGGAAAAATCAAACTATTTTTAATTCGACTTGGTCACAGAAAAAATTCAAGAACATTTATCGGAGAATAAAAATATCCAACATCACACAAACTATATTTCATAATGTCTAGTATTCAATGAAATATTTCTAGCAATACAAAGAAGTCAGAAATTGTGATCCACAATGAGAAGAAATATTAATTGATCAAAACTAACCCACAAGTATTAGATTAGCAGACAAGGGAATTAAAACAGTTACTATAACAGTGTTTTGCAAAACATCAGTGGAACTAAATATAGAGTTCATAAATAGATTTACAAAAATATGGCTAATCAATTTTTGTCAAAGATGTGAAAACAATTTAGTGGACAATTAACCTTTTCAACAAATAATGAGGAAGCAATTGCATATCCATCTGCAAATAAATAATTTTGCACCTAAGTCTCATACTTCGTACCAAAATTATCTCAAAATTCACATCAACAGAATGAAGGACCAAAAATATATGATGATTTCAATAGAAGCCAAAAAAGCATTAAATAATATTCAGTATTCTTTCCTGATAAAAAATAAACAAACGTGTTATAAAAAGAATGAACCTCAACAGGATAAAGCCCAAATACAACAAACCCACAACATGATATTGAACAGTGAAAAACTGAAAGCCTTCCCTGTAAGATCTGGAAAAGGAGAAGGATTCCCAGTTTCAACACTTTTATTGAACATAGTACTGAAACTCCTAGCCAGAGTAATTAGAAAAAAAGAAAGAAAGAAAGGGCACTCAAATTGGAAAGGAAGAAGTCAAACTATCCTTGCTTGAAGATGATGCGATCTTACATTTAGAAAAACCTAATGACTCCACCAAAAGACTAGTAGAACTTGTATTAGTCTGTTCTCATGTTGTTGACAAAGAAATACCTGAGACTGGGTAATTTATAAAGAAAAAGAGGTTTAGTGGACTCACAGTTCCACGTGGCTGGGGAGGCTTCACAATCATGGCAGAAGGTGAAAGACATGTCTTACATGGTGACAGGCAAAAAGAGAATGAAAACCAAGTGAAAGGGGATGCCCCTTATAAAACCATCAGATCTCATGAGACGTATTCACTGCCATGAGAACAGTATGAGGAAAATTGTTCCCATGATTCAATTATCTCCCACTGGGTTCCTCCCACAACATGTGGGAATTATGGGAACTATAATTCAAGATGAGATTTGGGTGGGGAGACAGCCAAATCATATTATAACTGATAAATGAGTTCAATAAAATACAAAAAGAGATACAAAATCAACAAAAATCAGTAGTGTTTGTATAGACTAACACTATCTTTTCTATGAAAAAGAAACCAAAGAAACAATCTCATTTGTGGTAACTACAAATAAAACAATACTTAAGAATAAACTTCAATTAAGAAGTTTATTAGCTCTTAGGATACCTCACTTAAAGCATAAGATCTGTACAATGAAAACTATAAAATATTGATGAAAGAAATTGAAGAGGACACAAAAAAATGGAAAGACATATTAAAGAATCGACATTTTTTAAAATAAAGATCTGTTATTATTAAAATAGTCTTACTATTCTAAGAAATCTACAGATTTAATGTTATCCTTATTCAAATACCCATGACATTCTCTACAAAAATACAAAAAGCAAATGCTAAAATTTGTATTAAACCACAAACGACCCAGAATAGCCAAAGTAATCCTGAGGGAAAAGATCAAAGCTGGAGACATCACATTACCCGACTTCAAATTTTACTACAAAGCTATAGTAACCAAAATAGCATGGCACTGCCATAAAAACAAGCACATAGACCAGTGGAACAGAGTAGAGAACACGGAAATAAATACACTTACAGTCAACTCATTTTTGACAAAGGCACCAATATATACATTGGGGAAAGGACAGTCTCTTCTACAAATGGTGCTGAGAAAACTGAATATGCATATGCAGAAGAATGAAACTAGACCCCTATCTCTCACCACAGGCAAAAATTAAATCAAAATGGGTTAAATATTTGAATATAAGCCCTGAAACTAGCAAATCCCTAGAAAAAAACTTTGGAGAAATGTTTCAGGACATTGGTCTGAGCAAAGATTTTTTTGTGTAAGTTCTCTAAAGCACGACCAAAGCAAAAATTGACAAGAGATCACATTAACTTAAAAACTTCTGCACAGCCAAGGGCACAATCAGAAAATGAAGAGATTACCTGTAGAATGGGAGAAAACATTTGCAAACTATTCAAACAGGTAACAGATTAATAACTAGAATATATAAGGAACTTAAACAACTCAAGAGCAAGAGATAAAATAATTAATCAAATTTAAAAATGGACAAAAGATCTGAACAGACGGTTCTCAAAGGAACATATACAAATAAATGGTCAACAGGTATACGAAAAAGTGTTCAGCATTACTAATCATCAGATAAATGCAAATAAAAACCACAATGAGTTAAAAACCACAATGAGTTACTATCTCACACTAGTTAAATGGCTTTTATCAAATTGACAAAGAAATAATGGATGCTAGTGAAGATAGAGAGAAAGGCGAACACTTGGACAATGTTGGTGAAATTTAAATTAGTACAGCTACTATGGAAAAGAGTATGGAGCTTCCTCAAGAAAATAAAAATAAAACTACCATATGATCCACTGATCCCACTGCTGGGTATATATAAAAAAGAAAGTAAATCAGTGTATGAGAAAGCTATCTGTTTTCTTATGTTTATTGCAGCACTATTCACAATAGTTAAGATATAGAATCAACCTAAGTGTTCATCAATGCATGAATGCATTTAAAAAATGTGGTACGGGTCAGGTATGTAATCCCTTGCTTGTAATCCCAGCACTTTAGAAGGCTGAGGCAGGCAGATCACGAGGTCAGGAGATAGAGATCATCCTGGTGAACAAGGTGAAACCTCATTTCTACTAAAATACAAAAAACTTATCTGGGCGTGGTGGCGTGTGCCTGTAGTCCCAGCTACTCGGGAGGCTGAGGCAGGCGAATGGCTTGAACCAGAGAGGCGGAGGTTGCAGTGAGCTGAGATCACACCATTGAACTCCAGCCTGAGCAACAAGAGTGAAACTCCATCTCATAATAAAAATAATAATAATAATATAAATTAAAAATAAAAAAGTGGTACATATACACAATGAAATATTATTCAGCCATGAAAGGAAATGAAATCGTGTCATTTGCAATGTCGTCTATAGAACTGGAAGACGTTACATTAAGTGAAATAAGCCAGGCATAGGAAGACAAATAACCACATGTTCTCACTCTTATGTGGGAACTTTGAAAAAATGATCTCATGAGGGTAGAGAGTGGAATGGTGGGTACCAGAGGCCAGGAAGGATAGGAAAGAGTGGGGCATAAAGACAGTTGGTTAATGGGTACAAAAATATAGTTAGATATAAGCAATAAGATCTAGCGTGCAATAGCACAAAAGGGTGACTAGAGTTAACAAAATGTATTGTATATTTCAAAATAACTAGAAGAGTGGATGTGGAATGTTCCCAGCACAAAACAATAACGAATGTTTGAGGTGATACATGTCCTGATTACCCTGATTTGATCATTACACATCGTATGCATGTATTAAAATATCACATGTACTTCATGAATATGTGCAACTGTTATGTATCCATAAAATTTTTTTGAAATATTATGTCAGTATGGATTATAGGTCTAAATGTAAGATGTAAAACTATAAAAGAGTTAAAAAACAAGAAAATATTTATGACTTGGGGTTATCCAAGTAGTTCCTAGACATAATACGAAAAATGTGATTCATAAAATTAAATGAGATAAATTTGACTTTAACAAAATTAATTTTTTTTCTCTGTGAAAAACACTCACTGAGAATTAAAAAAAAAAACAGTAGCACACTGGGCAAAGGGAAGATACATTTGCAAAACAAACATTCAAGCTGGGACTTGCACAATTCCAAAAATATAAAGAATCACCAAACTCAACAAGAAAAATATTAACACAATTAAAAATGGGCAAGGATATTTCACTTAAAAGGACTTAAAAATGGCAAATAATATATAAAAAGATGTCCAGCTTCAGGAGCCAAGAAGGAAATCCAAATTAAAGTTCCAACTTGAAACTAATACTTTTTAGCAAATTAAATCAAGTAATGTGCTAAAAGGATAATATAGGATAACCAAGCAACATTTATCCATTAAAGATAGCTTAAATATTTGAATATCAATCAACATAATAATCACATTAGTATAGAAAACATGATTATCTCAACAGACACACAAATTTGACAAAATTCAATATCAATTACTTATGAAAATTCTCACAAACTGGGAATAGAAGGAAGCTTCCTCCACCTGCTATCAGACATAATATTTAATGGTAATATACTGAATGTTTCCTCAATAAGATCAGGAAAAATGCAAAGATGTCTTCTCTTGTCACTATTACTCACATTGTAGGATATTTTAGCCAAGAAAATACAGAAAATGCAGAAAAGCATCCAGATTAGAAAGACAGAAGGAAAATCGTATTAATTTGTAAGTGGCATGATTCTCTATGTGGTAAACCCAATGGAACATTGAACTAAATTTAGCAACTTTGCAGGATAAAAGGTCAATATAAAAATCAATTATATTTTATGTGCTAGGAATGAACAATCAGAAAGTAAAATTAGAAAAATAATATCTTTAATAACATTGAAATGTTTAAAGTATTTAGAGATAAATCTGGGAAATATAGGGAAGACCTGTATACCAAAATCTATAAATACTTGCTGAGATTAAAAACGAAGAAGTCCTTAACAAACACATATTACCATAGTGGAAGGTTAGACAGTTTAAATATTGCTAAGTTGTCCATTTTCCTCAACTTGATCTATGTCATCACGATAATCCCACATAAAATCACAACAGGGTTTTTGTAAAAATTGACAAAGCGATTCATCAGCAGATGTAAATGACATAGAATAACCAAAGCCCATTTAAAAAAAAGACAGTATTGAACGATTAACACTACCTTTTATTAAAATTTAGAAGAGATTGGGTGAGTTAAGGGCTGTATGGCCGTAGACTCAATTTATTAAAATTTAGTAGAAGCTACAGTCTTCAAGACAGTGTGGCAATGTCATCAATAAATATATCAATGTATATATCAATAAATACATCAGTGTAACAGAATAGAGAGCACAGAAATAGACTCGCACATATGAAAAAACATTTCCACAAAGATGAACAGGCAGTTCAGTGAAGAAAGATGCATCTTTTGAACAAATAGTGCTTGGACAATTAGATATCTATATCTATATTTATACCTATCTATTTAAAAAACTTTAATCTCATCCCTCATGTCACTTGATTACTTAAAATTGATCATATACCTAAATTATGAACATAAATTATAAAATTATAACAGGAAATATTCAAGAATATCATTGTGACCTTAGATTAGACAAAGAATATTAAAATATAACACCAAAAGCGTCTGGGTGTTGTGGCTCACACCTGTAATCCTAGCACTTTGAGAGGCTGAGATGGGCAGATCACAAAGTCAAGAGATCCAGACCATCCTGGTCAACATGGTGAAATCCTGCCCTACTAAAAATACAAAAATTAGCTGGGCGTGGCCGGGCGCGGTGGTTCATGCCTGTAATCCCAGCACTTTGGGAGGCCGAGGCGGGCGGATCACGAGGTCAGGAGATCGAGACCATCCTGGCTAACACGGTGAAACCCCGTCTCTACTAAAAATACAAAAAAAAATTAGCCGGGCATGGTGGCTGGCTCCTGTAGTCCCAGCTACTCCGGAGGCTGAAGCAGGAGAATGGCGTGAACCCGGGAGGCGGAGCTTGCAGTGAGCCGAGATCGCGCCACTGCACTCCAGCCTGGGGGACGGAGCGAGACTCCGTCAAAAAAAAAAAAAAAAAAAAAAAAAAAATTAGCTGGGCGTGATGGCACGTGCCTGTAGTCCCAGCTACTTGGGAGGCTGGGGCAGAAGAATCGCTTGAACCCAGGAGGCAGAGGTGGCAGCGAGCCGAGATGGTGCCACTGCACTCCAGCCTGGCGAGAGAGCGAGACTCCGTCTCAAAAAAAAAAAAAAAAAAAAAAAAAAAAAAAAAAAAAACACCAAAAGCATCATCCATGAAAGGATAAACTAGATTTGTCAAAATTTATAAAATTTCATTTCTATTCTTTGGAAGACACTGGTAAGAAAATAAAAAGACAAGCCACAGACCAGGAGAAAATATTTTGCAAATCATATACCTGACAAAGGATAAATTACTGGTAAGAACATTGAGAAACTAAAACTTTCAAACACTGCTGGTAAAATATAAAATAGTACAATTGTACAAATAAACAATTTCTTGAAAAGCTAATTATACACTGACCATGTGATCCCCAGCCATTCCACTTTTCACATTAGACAAAGAGAAACAAAAGCATAGGGTATATAATCACAGCTATACATTATCATTACAGCTTTATTTTTATAACTCACGAAGAGAAAACAGCCCAAATGGCTATCAGCATGTGAATGGATAAACACATCGTGGTATAGCTCTCCAATAGAATAGTACACAATAAAAAGAAATGAAATATTTACCTAGGCAACCACATGGATGAATCTCAAAATAAATATGCTAAATGGAAGAGACTGAATTAAAAAAAGAGTACATGTTCATAATCTGTCATACATAAAATTCCAGAAAATGCCTCCAAATGTAGAGTGACACAAGCTAAATTAGCAGTTGCCCAGGGATAGCGGGTGGGGACAGGGTTTTGAAGGACTAGAGAGGCAATTACAAAGTGGCATGAGAAAACTTTGGGGGTGATAGATATGGAAATGTTATCACCTTCATTGTGAGGAGAAAATTATTTCATGGGAGTATACATAAGCTAAAATGTATCAAATTATATACTTTATGTGTATTAATTGTATATCAATTATACATAATAAAACTTATTTTTAAGTGTAAAAAATAATAAAAGTATATAAAAATTTAATGTTAAACACTTTATAAAAAATGGATGTACTAATTTTTTTAAATGTTCTTTCTACAGTCATCATTTTTAACAACTTAATATCATTTTTGCTTGTTTTTAAAACACCAGAAAAATATTTTTTTGTTAAAAGTTTAAAGTTTGAAACACTGCTTAAAACAGCCTGTCCAATCATTGTAGATGTTAAAAGAATAATTCAATGAATAGATAGGATTACCAACCTCAAAATCACAAAAACACTTTCAGATAGACATTCTAATGCTAGCTGGTTATGTCAATTCAGAGAATATTTTTAAATTCTCTTATTTTACTTTAATTTATTTTATTTTACTTTAAGTTCTGGGATACATGTGCTGAACATGCAAGTTTGTTACATAGGTATACATGCTCCATGGTGGTTTACTGCACATATGAACCAGTCATCTAGGTTTTAAGCCCCACATGCATTAGGTATTTGTCCTAACGCTCTCCCTCCCTATGTCCCCGACCCCCGACAGGCCCTGGTGTATGATGTTCCCCTCCCTGTGTCCATGTGTTCTCATTGTTCAACTCCCACTTATGAGTGAGAACATGTAGTGTTTGGTTTTCTGTTCCTGTGTTAGTTGGCTGAGGATGATGGTTTCCAGTTTCATCCATGTCCCTACAAAGGACATGAACTCATTCTTTTTTATGACTCCATAGTATTCCATGGTGTATATGTACCACATTTTCTTTATCCAGTTTATTATTGATGGGCATTTGGGTTGGTTCCAAGTCTTAGCTATTGTAAATAGTGCTGCAATAAACATATGTGTGCATGTGTCTTTATAGTAGAATGGTTTATAATCCCTTGGGTATATACCCAGCAATGGGATTTCTGGGTCAAATAGTATTTCTAGTTCTAGATCCTTGTGAAATTGCCACACTGTCTTCCACAGTGGTTGATCTAATTTACACTCCCATGAACAGTGTAAAAGCATTTCTATTTCTCTACATCCTTGCCAGCATCTGTTGTTTCCAGACTTTTTAATGATCACCATTCCAACTGGCATGAGATGGTATCTCATTGTGGTTTTGATTTGCATTTCTCTAATAACCAGTGATGATGAGTTTTTTTGCATATGTTTGTTAGCTGCATAAATGTCTTCTTTTGAGAAGTGTCTGTTTATATCCTTTACCCACTTTTTGATGGGGTTGGTTTTTTTTTCTTATATATTTGTTTAAGTTCCTTGTAGATTCTGGATACCAGACCTTTGTCAGATAGAACGAAACTACTTTCTTCCATTCTATAAGTTGCCTGTTCACTCTAATTATAGTTTATTTAGCTGTGAAGAAGCTCTTCTGTTTCATTTGATCCCATTTGTCAATTTTGGCTTTTGTTGCCATTGCTTTTGGTATTTTAGTCATGAAGTCTTTGCCCGTGCCTATGTCCTGAATGGTATTGCCTACGTTTTCTTCTAGGGTTTTTATGGGTTTAGGTTTTACATTTAAGTCTTTAATCCATCTTGAGTTAATTTTTGTGTAAGGTGTAAGGAAGGGTCCAGTTTCAGTTTTCTGCATATGGCTAGCCGGTTTTCCCAGCAACATTTATTTAATAGGGAATCCTTTCCCCATTGCTAGTTTTTCTCAGGTTTGTCGAATATCACCCGTTTGTGTGGTCTTATTTCTGAGCCCTCCGTTCTGTTCCATTGGTCTACATATCTGTTTTGATACCAGTACCATTCTGTTTTGGTTACTGTAGCCTTGTAGTATAGTTTGAAGTCAGGTAGCCTGATGCCTCCAGCTTTGTTATTTTGCTTAGGATTGTCTTGGCTATACGGGCTCTTTTTTGGTTGCATATGAAATTTAAAATAGTTTTTTCTAGTTCTATGATGAAAGTCAATGGTAGCTTCATGGGAGTAGCACTGAATCTATAAATTACTTTGGGCAGTATGGCAACTTTCACAATGTTCAGTCTTCCTATCCATGAGCAGAAAATGTTTTTCTATTTGTTTGTCCTCTCTTATTTCCTTGAGCAGTTGTTTGTAGTTCTCCTTGAAGAAGTCCTTCAAGTCCCTTGTAAGTTGTACTCCTAGATATTTTATTCTCTTTGTAGCAATTGTGAATGGGAGTTCCCTCATGATTTGGCTCTCTGTTTGTCTATTATTGGTGTATCAGAATGCTTGTGATTTTTCCACATTTACTGTGTATCCTGAGACTTTGCTGAAGTTGCTTATTAGCTTAAGGAGTTTTGGGGCTGGGACGATGGGGTTTTCTAAATATACAATCATTTCATCTGCAAACAGAGACAATTTGACTTCCTCTCTTCCTATTTGAATACCTTTATTTCTTTCTCTTGCCTGATTTCTCTGGCCAGAACTTCCAATACTATGTCGAATAGGAGTGGTGAGAGAGGGCATCCTTGACTTATGCCAGTTTTCAAAGGTAATGCTTCCAGCTTTTCTCCATTCAGCATAATATTGCCTATGGGTTTGTCATAAATATCTCTTATTATTTTGAGTTATGTTCTATCAATACCTAGTTTATTGAGAGTTTTTAGCATGAAGCGGTGTTGAATTTTATTGAAGGCCTTTTCTGCATCTATCGAGATATTCATGTGGTTCTTGTCATTGGTTCTGTTTATGTGATGAATTACATTTATTGATTTGCATATGTTACATCCCAGAGATGAAGCTGACTTGAACATGGCGAATAAGCTTTTTGATGTGTTGCTGGATTCGCTTTGCCAGTATTTTATTGAGGATTTTCACATTGATGTTCATCAGGGATATTAGCCTGAAATTTTCTTTTCTTGTGTCTCTGCCAGCTTTTGGAATCAGGATGATACTGGCCTCATAAAATGAGTTAGGGAGGAGTCCCTCTTTTTCTATTGTTTGGAATAATTTCAGAAAGAAATATACCAGCTCCTCTTTGTACCTCTAGTAAAATATGACTGTGAATCCGTCTAGTCCTGGGCTTTTTTGGTTGGTAGGCTATTAATTACTGCCTCAATTTCAGAACGTGTTATTGGTCTATTCAGGGATTCAACTTCTTCCTGGTTTAGTCTTCAGAGGGTGTATGTGTCTAGGAATTTATCCATTTCTTCAAGATTTTCTAGTTTATTTGTGTAGAGGTATTTATACTATTTTCTGAGGTTAGTTTGTATTTCTGAGGGATCAGTGGTGATATCCCCTTTATCATTTTTCATTGTGTCTATTTGATTCTTCTGTCTTTTCTTCTTTATTAGTCTGGCTAGTGGTTTATCTATTTTGTTAATCTTTTCAAAAAACTGGCTCCTGGGTTCATTGATTTTTTGAAGAGTTTTGTGTGTCTCTATCTCCTTCAGTAGTTCTGCTCTGATCTTAGTTATTTCTTGTCTTCTGCTAGCTTTTTAATTTGTTTGCTCTTGCTTCTCTAGTTCTTTCAGTTGTGATGTTAGGGTGTCAGTTTTAGATCTTTCCCGCTTTCTGATGCGGGCATTTAGTGCTATAAATTTCCCTCTAAATTTCCCTTTATAACTGAGTCCCAGAGATTCTGGTACATTGTGTCTTCGTTCTCACTGGTTTCAAAGAACTTATTTATTTCTGACTTAATTTCGTTATTTACTCAGTAGTCATTCAGGAGCAGGTTGTTCAGTTTCCATGTAGTTGTGTGGTTTTGGTAAGTTTCTTAATCCTGAGTTCTAATTTGATTGCACCGTGGTCTTAGAGGCTGTTTTTTATGATTTCTGGTTTTTTGCATTTGCTGAGGAGTGTTTTACTTCCAATTATGTGTTCAATTTTAGAGTAAGTGCTATGTGGTGCTGAGAAGAATGTATATTCTGTTGATTTGGGGTAGAGAGTTCTGTAGATACCCATCAGGTCTGCTTGGTCCAGAGCTTAGTTCAAGTCCTGAATATCCTTGTTAATTTCCTGTCTCATTGATCTAATATTGACAGTGGGGTGTTAAAGTCTCCCACTATTATTGTGTGGGAGTCTAAGTCACTTTGTAGGTCTCTAAGAACTTGTTTGATGAATCTGGGTGCTCCTGTATTGGGTGTATATATATTTAGGATAGTTAGCTCTTCTTGTTGCATTGATCCCTTTACCACTATGCAATGCCCTTCTTTGTCTTTTTTGATCATTGTTGGTTTAAAGTCTGTTTTGTCAGGTCATTTATGTTCTTCTTTAAACTAGTTATTCTAGTTAGCAGTACCTGTAACCTTTTGTCAAGGTTTTTAGCTTCCTTGCATTGGATTACAACATGCTCCTTTAGCTCAGAGGAGTTTGTTATTACCCACTTTCTGAAGCCTACTTCTGTCAATTGGTCAAACTCATTCTCTGTCCAGTTTTGTGCCCTTGCTGGAGAGGAGTTGCAATCATTTGGAGGAGAAGAGGCATTCCGGTTTCTGGAATTTCAGCAGTTTTGCACTGTTTTTTCCTCATCTTTGAGGATTTATCCACCTTTTATCTTTGAGGCTGATGACCTTTGGATGGGGTTTCTGTGTGTGGGGGTCCTTTTTGTTGATGTTGATGTTATTTCTTTCTGTTAGTTTTTCTTCTAACACTCAGGCTCCTCTTCTGCAGGTTTGCTGCAGTTTTTTGGAGGTCCACTCCAGACCCCTTTCCCTGGGTATCCCCAGCAGAGGCTGCAGAACAGCAAGATTGCTGCCTTCTTCTTCCTCTGGAAGCTTCATCCCAGAGGGGCACCAGCCTGATACCAGCTGGAGCTCTCCTGTATGAGGTGTCTGTCAACCCCTGTTGGGAGGTGTCTCCTAGTCAGGAGGCATGGGGGTTAGGGACCCACTTGAGGAGGCAATCTGTCCCTTAGCAGAGGTCAAGTGCTGTGCTGGCAGAACCTTTCTTGTCAGGATCCACTGCTCTCTTCAGAGCCAGCAGGCATGAACGTTTAAGTCCTCTGAAGCTGTGCCCACAGCCACCCCTTCCCACAGGTGCTCTGTCCCAAGGAGATGGGAGTTTTATTTATAAGTCCCTGACTGGGGCTGCTGCCTTTCTGAGATGGCCTGCCCAGTTAAGAGGAATCTAGTGAGCACCTAATCAAGTCTCAGTAATAGCGGACGCCCCCCCCGCAACAAGCTCAATGATCCTAGGTCGACTTCAGACTACTAAGTTGACAATGGAATTTCAAGCCAGTGGTTCTTAGCTTGCTGGGCTCCGTGGGAGTGGGACCCGCTGAGCAAGACCACTAGGCTCCCTGGCTTCAGCCCCCTTTCCAGGGGAGTGAACGGTTCTGTCTCATTGGTGTTCCAGGCACCACTGCGGTACAAGAAAAAAAAAAAAAAAAAAAAAAAAAAAAACTCCTGCAGCTAGCTTGGTCTCTGCCCAAACAGCTGTCCAGTTTTCTGGTTGAAACCCAGGGCCCTGGTGGTGTAGGCACACGAGGGAATCTCCTGGTCTGTGGATTGCAGAAACCATGGGAGAAGTGCAGTATCTGGGCCGGATAGTACAGTCCCTCATGGCACAGTCCCTCAGGGCTTCCCTTGGCTAGGGGAGGGAGTTCCCAACCTCTTGTGCTTCCTGGGTGAGACGACGCCCCACCCTGCTTCTACTCCTGCTCTGTGGGCTGCACCCACTGCCTACGCAGTCCCAATGAGATGAACAGGGTACCTCAGTTGGAAATGCAGAAATTACCCACCTTCTGCGTTGGTCTCGCTGACAGCTGCAGACAGGAGCTGTTCCTATTCAGCCATCTTGCCACCAGGCCCTGTTTTAAACTTCTTAACGATTATCTGTGGGCTTTCACTTGGCAAATGAGAGAAATGTACTATAAGAGTATTACTCAAGTAATATGTTCCAATTAGCGGGTTACAAAGTAAATTTATGTGTTCATAGACAGTGAGAAAAATAAAAATAAAATAGAATAAATATTAGTGTGTTGCCCATGAAAAGGTACTTGTCTCACAAAGCTCTAATTTCAGTTTTGAATATAAATTCATCTACGTAGTGGGATGCAATAACAAATATATCTCAATATTAATTTATCATAGTTTCAAAGTGTGAAAGATAGAAACCTAACATTTCTTGATTTCCATTTAGTCCTCTCCTATTGTGTTGTGTGAAAATTATTTTAAAAACAGACCTATAAAATGGAATTCAGATAAGATGATTCATATGAACTTTTCTACCTCATTATTACTCATGTTAGAAAATTAGTCAAAATCATCTTTTTGAAAAGGCGTCAGGGAAAAATTACTCTCTACAGAGATAATAGTATTTCCTGTTATTTTTGTCAGCAGTGACTCAGAGATCAGTTGAAAAATTCGAGAAGACCAGGGGATGATAAAGAGATCTTAAAAGCATCTTTGTTTTATGACTAAAAAGTGTGGCACATAACCCAGAGAGATTTTTCTTAGTTTTCTTACTTAGATTTAACCCTCTAATGAGACCTTTGATCTGAAAAAGAAAAATCCAGATCAATTAATACAAATGACAAAAATGTCCCTTGCTTTGTGTGTAATTTCTTTTAAGAAAAGTAATAAATATTCACTATAAAATTTTTAAATTCAAGACTAATGAGAATAAAATAAGCCCACAAGCAAAATAATTACCTTAAAATTACAAAAACAACATTTCTAAAATTAGATACAAATACTGCAGAAAAGCATAAGGAAAAAAACATTTGAAAACTACCTTTATACTAATGAGAATATTTTAATGAATTCATTAAATTGGGGGTAGGGAATCTCTACTCTTCCTTAAGTAAATATTCAAATATTTATGTCCTTGCATAAGTGGACTTTCAATATGTTAAGGTGAAAAAGGTCAGGGACCAAGATCCTAGAACTGTTTGTTAGATTGAATCAAAACTGTATAAATCAAAGAAAAGCATATGTTTGTGGTAACAACATTTAGGGCTGCTTAATCACAGACGTGGGCTGAATACAGAGGCCCTAGCTGAGGAAGTAGAACAGATAGTTGGAGCTATCACATGGGGCAATGCTATGAAGACTCAAGATGAAGGCCAGGCCTCAGCATATCTCTCTGCAGAAGATGACAGGCACAGACATAAGATCTGAAGCTGATCATTACTTTCCCACAAGGATTAGAGAGAAGCTGTGAGGAGAACGCTGAGTGGATTTGTAGGCTGCCCAGGTGGGGTGCTGTCACTAAGGGAAGACAAGAATGAAGGAATCCTACCAATGGCAGCTGGATTAGCAGCTGTGAAGTCCAGTAAGCAGACACTTCAGACCAAAGGATTTCTCCCAGGGGTGAATACAAGGCCTGACTACAAGAGTTCTTCATAAGACTCAAAGGTTTGCAGATCATTGAGAGCCTGGCCACTATCTGGAGAGTTCACTGGCCCCCAGGAGAGTTTGGTGGAGAGGATGAATGGGCCTGTGCGGTGGCATTTTACTCTGAAGTTATGTTTTCCCCTGCTCTCTGCTTCACAGAGGAGTCCTGGCCTTTGGGAGGTGCTATGATTCATCCTCTGGGATCTTAAACTCTACCTAGATTCAAGTCATGTACACAGAAAAAAATAAAAGTGTCAACTCTCACAACTCTGTTCAGGAGAGAAGCTTTATCTGACCCCTGGGACAGGACATAGCCAAAGACACACAATACTAAAAATAGGGGAATTGGTGAGCGGCCGGAGCAGCACTCCATCAGTCAGCATTCAAATAGTGTTTTATAATGTTGTTGATTAATTCTATAATTATATACTTATGTAAACTATGGAATATACCTACTTAGAATATGAAATATGAGAATACTTATATGGAAAATGGTTAAGTAAATGGGCTCCGGAGTTAGAAAAATCTAGGCTCCAAATCTGTTTTTTTTATTTATTTACTTGGTAATTTTTCTGAATACTATTAAATTATTTATAAAAACGCAAAATACCTACCTCAAAGTGTTGCTTCAAGGATTTAATAAAATAATGTATGTAACAGTGGTTTGCACAAAATATATATGTGTATACTCATTAAATTGTCTCTATTAAAACTAATAATAGAAGCAAAATTATTGCTATTGTGGGACCAAACAGTAAGATTCAGAGAATTGAATATAGATAAAATGCAGAGGCTAGCTGGACTAAAATCTTGACTGGTTTATGAATGCCAGAACCTATGATTAAAAATATACTAAATGGTTGATTTGATTTAATCACATTTAAAACCAAAGTTAATGTATAGATGACTGAGTACCATGTACCAATGATAATACAGATGTGCCATTCGGATAGTCTAAAAAGTAATTTGTATTAACTCTTAAGTAGTTATTTAATGTAATCTCCTAAATGTCTAATTCACAATAGCAAAGACATGGAACCAACCCAAATGTCCATAAATGATAGACTGGATAAAGAAAATGTGGTACATATACACCATGGAATACTATACAGCCATAAAAAGGAATAAGATCATGTCCTTTGCAGGGACATGGATGAAGCTGGAAGCTGTCATCCTCAGCAGACTAACCCAGTAACAGAAAAGCAAACACCACATGTTCTCACTCACAAGTGGGAGCTGAAGAATGAGAAAACATGGACACAGATGGAAACAGGGAGGGGAAAACACACACACCAGGGCCTTTCAGGGGCAGGGATCAAGGGGAAGGAGAGCATCAGCAACTAATGTATGTGGGGCTTAAAACCTAGGTGACAGGTTGATAGGTGCAGCAAACCACCATGGCACACGTATACCTATGTAACACACCTGCATGTTCTGCACATGTATCCCGGAACTTAAAGTAACAAAAAAAAAATAATGAGGTCATTTAAAATGTAATAAGTCCAAAGTGAGAGGGATTTCATTGTAGGTATAGCAACTCAGTCCTATAAGAAGTGTTTGGGATAAAAAATTCATTGCAACACATGAGATCATTATTTTTGTAATGTATGGATTCCTGTAATGCATGGATTGCATTATTCACTGCAATCAGTGAGATCATTAGTGCTGTACATTCCGATACCACGAAGGCACTGCATCACATCCAAGGTCACAGATATTTCTTAAAATCCAGTGAGGCCATAAAATGAGTTCCAAACTTTCTTATACTCTGAATACTTGTCCCCAAACCTTGAGATCACTCAAAGGAGAAGACTAAGAATAAGGCTTTTGAGGAAGGTAGAAAAGGATGGCCTAAATTTCCCTTTAGAGCGTTAGCAGTACAGGCAGGAGGATTATGAGGAAGAAGCATTAGGTGAAGTTTAAAGTCACTCTACAAGGTCAAGCTTAAAACTGGCTGACAGACCTCAGCCTACTGGAATGAAGGACCCTGGATTAGTCTCTGTCAGGTCTAGACTGAGTGCCTCTCATTGCCAATTCGAAAGTGAAGTCCCAAGTCCTAGTGCAGGCTCTGACCTCTATTATTTATGCCATGCCACTTAATTACCTTGAGCCTTAATTTTCTGATTTTAAAATCCAAGGTTAATATGTATTTGATCAACTCACTAGATTGATATATGTTGATAACATTAGGTTAGCATGGTTCACCCAGGTTATATAAATTCTTTTACAATTGGAATAGAATTCAGACAACATGAAAGAAATTACTATTCAAAGTATTCACCCTGAAGAAAAAGCAAACTATGATGCAAGCTACAAAGGTATACTGTTTAGTAGTTTGAAAAGGAAAGTAAACACGATTTAATTGGAAAATGAAGAATAGCCTATTAAGAGAATGGGGAAGGCCCATGTAAGGAAATTGTCCTCTTAGGGGTTTACACTATACTGATTTTAAGGTCACATTAACACTAAAACCCAATCATGAAGTCACTTTCTTAAATGTCTACTGTGATTCTAGCATTACCTTTAGTGCCAAAATAATAGACATAGCTCCCATATTCAAAGAGGTATCTGCATGGCTGTAATAATAAAGGGCAAATAATACAAAGGGGATAAAAATGAACTCCATGTTCTGGGAGAGGTCCCATTAGAAACATTTTGCTGGTCAGCTTTGCAAATCAGGCATCTCCCCCAGAATCCTGCATATGCAACTGTGTGATGCTTCTAACAAAGTGACTGTTCGCCAGTCATTTTGTGGTTCTTTGGTACCACTATTCCTGTTATGTTCCCTAGTTTTAAGCTGTTAATGTATTTATTTTTTTCCATTATGATAAAATACCCATAATATAACATTTATGATTTTAACAATTTGAAAATGTAAACTTTGGTGGCATTTAATACATTCACAATGTTGTGTAATCATCACCAATACCTACTTCAAGAACATCCTCATCCTAAAGTAAACTATGTACTCATTACACAGGACTTCATTGTTCTTTCTTCTCTCAGTCACTGGTAACTACCAATCTGCTTTGTATACTTTAGATTTTTATGTAAATGAAATCATACAATATGTGGCCATTGAATTTAGCTTCTTTCACTTAGCCTACTGTTTTCATTCTTCATCCATGTTTTTGTGACAGAAATATTCCACTGTGCATATGTGTATGTGTGCATGTGCACACTCACCCACAGTGCACACACCATGTTTTGTTGCATGCACACATCACATTTTGTTTATCCATTAATCAACTGATGGACATTTGAGTTGTTTCTACCTGTTTACTGTTGCAAATAATCCCGCCATGGATACATGTACAAAGCTATATTCAAAAAAGCTGTTATCATTTTAATGACCCCTTTCATCTTCTATAATAAGACTAAGCTCTTCTCTAAGTGTGATGTCAGCCTCCTTATGCCTTTCTAGACTCTGCTGCTACTACTAGCTCTTTTTATGCAACACCACCCAAGTCTTACACAAACCCTATAACCAAGTCTGCCACACACCTCATGCTTTGCCACTGCCTGAAATGTCCTCATTAGGCTGTTGCACATTTACTTTCTAGCTTTTCTAGAAGCAGCTCAGTCATCATTTCCTGCTGGAAGCCAGGTCTTCTTTGTGTCCTTCTGCTCATCTGGCCCATGCATGCATTAATCAATAGGCCAATTCCAGTCTGTTCCACTCATTTATGTGCCTACAGGTCAGTCTCTTCTAAGTCATGAGTTTCAGTGAGGTATAAAGTAAGTCTGATTCATCTGTGAATCCCAGCAGAGAATTTTACCACATAGTAGATATTCCATAAATGTTTGATGAGTGAATGTATTAAATGTAAAGATGAATGGCATTTGTATTCCATGAAGCAAAAGAAGAGCTCTGCAGTTATTCAATTCTCTCTTTAAGCAGCATTTGCCATCTCTCCTTATGTCTCTCTACCTCAGACAATTAATATTTCAAGCTCACCTCCTGAAAACAGACTATAGAAAATGACCAAGATCTAGGGAAGAACAATGGATATGGTCAGAAAAGATAAGTATGAATTATGGCACTTCCATCCTTATCTCCTAGGGTCCATGTCAATTCACTTTGCTTGCTGAGTCTCTAATAGAGGCTAAAGTCAGCTCAAGAACAATATTAAAAGTCTCAGCTTTAGTGTCAGTTCAGCTCCCAGACAATGGCCATGTGATGTCCAGCTACATATTTATTTTGACTCAATAATATAAAATATTCAGTGGAGTAGCTTATAATAATACTTTTTACCACATAGATTAAAATATATTCAAAATGTATTCAATCCATCAATTCTTAATTGGCTATGCTAATAGAAGACAAAACTGTATGTTCTGCTTAAAGTGGTAACCTCTCATCATGCCCTCATTGAAACAAATTATATTTTTTAGACATGATAAAACTCAATAATTACTTCTGAGAAGTGTTTCTGGCTCTTCCAGTCTAATTTAAATGCCCTTCTTTTCTGCCCTCATTGCACCTTTGTCTTTCTTATCTTTCTTTCCCATAGCATCTGCCATTGTCCTGTGTGCCTTGATATATTTGTCTCTGTTTCCTAGTAAGTCATAAGTTTTGAGATGACAGAAGCCATGTTTTACCCACAGTGATTAATGCCATCCCTATACATAGAAGATGCTCAATCAATGATGTTGAATGAATGTCATACACATTTAATCGAGTTTGACAGAGACCTGATATTAGTATCACAACAGTGAAACAGTTAAGTAGTCATAAGCACTAGATTTAAGCCATCTTGCAGAATGATAATTCAGATAGCCAGAAAAATATTTATATGAAGTGAAATAAAGTTTTATTCACCATTAGCACAACGAAGGCTGGGCTTGGGGAAGGCTTATTTGTAAAGAGGTGATTACAGAAACCTGTGAAGAGGAATCTCAACCTCTTTCCAACTTTGGGAAATGATGCCTACCATAAAATTACCTCTCAGTTAAATAATGAGTTTAATTTTAAATAATAGGCAATGTCTTGTTCATTTATATTTTTATAGCATTTCAGAATTAAAACAATTACTGTAATCCAAAAATGACAGGACCAAAAACAAGAACATGTTTCATTCTATGCCTTTCAACTCAGAAGACCCTCAAGAATAACTATAGAAAATAATACTGTTAAATTACAATGCAGTACTATTTTAGGAGGGGAAGGGAAGGGTGTCAAACCATTATATCCAATTTGATAGAATCTTCTGGCTTGTCATAAATTATAACTTTGCATCATAATACTTTTTATAATACGCTTATACATTTACTAAATTAACCAAAAAGAAATGGTAAGCTCAGAATTACCGTGACTACATAATTGACAGTACATTTTTTCAAGTTATTAAATAAGCTTTTATAAACCAGCTGTAGTCAAAAGATTTCTACTTACTTAAAAAAGAGCTAAAAGACCGTCCTTGTTTAAGGATTCATAGATACAGGAGCAAAAATACGATAAATTATTTTCTAATTTCCTCTAGTGAATTTGTTGTCAGCGGAACTAGGAAATACAAAATATCTAGAATAATTTGTAGGAAGGAAAAGCACTATTATAATTTCCATTAATATTTTTTATTACAGATTTCAAGTCGGGAGGCTTTTTCTTGGTCAACTTACCTGTCATCAAACAAAATTAGGCAGAGAAACAAAAGGATGCAAAAAGTTTATTTTCTATTATTTCCCTATCCGTGAAAAGCTTTTATAACCATGATTTTCTCTATGTATTAGAAATCATTTTTGTAAAGACAAACCTTCTAAGTTTGACCCAAGTCACTTATTTGTGTCTTTGCTCTTCTGAGAGTTGTTTTCATATAAAGGAAGATCTAAAATTCTGTGTATTTCTCAGTCTTTACAGCATGAATGTGATTTTATTGACGCATACTCTATGTGCACATTGATTTCAAAAGAATATGATACTAGTGTCTTTTATTAACTCTCATTAGTCCATAAAAATATATCTTTAGCTTTATCCTTAATATAATCTCTTACATTTACATAGCATTTAATATTACTTATTCCACATATTTTCACTTCAGACATTTTGATATGCTAATGGAGCCACAGCCACTGATTTCATACAAATGATATTTGATTTCTAGTAAAAAGCGTTAATATTAACTGTATTTATTTCTCCCATTATGGGAGGGTCTACCATAAAATTTAAGTATACCTTTAAAATTAGAGGGTATTTACTCATCTCATCTATGTGATAAGGAGTATGTGTCTTTATTTCTGCTCTTAAGGAGTTATAATGTCACATATGCAAACAGTTTTGTTAGCAGCATATGATAATATATGCGCAAAGAGTCAAAGAAAGGAGATATTAATATAGGTGTGAGGGGGCATAAATATTTTATGAAGTAGAATATACCACATCAAGATCTGGAAAGGAACAGAAGAAGAGAGATAAAAAGTAGAGTTCTTAACAAAGCCCGCAAGGCTCTACATCGCATAGCTCCTGCTGTCTTCTTGCACAACGAGGTCCAGCATGACTTCAGAACAGAGCCTGCTAACATGCTGATCCTTCCGCCCAGAATGCTGTTCCCTATGCTTCACCTGTTAAACCCATCACATGGGACTTATCTTTAATATTAATTTCTTAATAAATACTTTTATTGAGAGCGCCGGTTCCAAATGTAAACAAGGTCCATTTGTTTTGTGATCATTACACCCTCTATTCTTCCTTAATAATTTATAATACATATGATTTTATAAATATTGTATATTTATGAAATAATGTGTGTGCCGTATATCCTTACTTAACAGACAACTTCATGAATTCAGAGATTTTGTCTGCTATATTCCCCTATATTCTGTATTCCCAACACCCAGAAGAGTGCTCAATATGTTGGAAGAATTTAGTATATTTTGTGAATAGATGGAAGAAAATGGAATGCCAAAGAGTACAGCAATAGACCATTTAAATCCTAACAATTACATTATGGTGTAGAAGAAATACCATGGATTTTGGAGCCAGGCTACCTTTGATGTAGACATTTCCTCTGTGATATTTCAACTATGCAACGGTACTGAATTGCTCTGAGCTTCCACTTTCTCCTAGGTAAAATGAATGTGACCATCCCATCTTGCAGGTTTGTTATTAGGATTTAATGAAGGAATGAATGCAACATGCCTAGTACATTGCCTAGCATACAATAATTTCTGATATTTATATACAAGAATTACCTATATAGTGATGTGCTTGCAATACTCATTAGTAATAATACTTTAAAATGATTAAATTTGAAATTCAAGACCTGGCGCGGTGGCTCACGCCTGTAATCCCAGCACTTTGGGAGGCCGAGGAGGGCGGATCACGAGGTCAGGAGATCGAGACTATCCTGGCTAACACGGTGAAACCCCGTCTCTAAAAAAAAAATACACAAATTAGCCGGGCGTGGTGGCAGGCACCTGTAGTCCCAGCTACTCAGGAGGCTGAGGCAGGAGAATGGCATGAACCCAGGAGGCGGAGCTTGCAGTGAGTCGAGATCGCGCCACTGCACTCCAGCCTGGGCAACAGAACGAGACTCCGTCTCAAAAAAAAAAAATTTTTTTTGAAATTCAAACTAATCCACCCAAATGAATAACTAGGTATTTATTGTTTATGTGAACTAAAGTTTTCTAATATCCTTTTCTATACCCTGCAAATTGACTTAGCAAACATAAACTTTTAGTAGATTGTTTCTGTTTTGTCTAACTATTCAATTTGGTTACATGTTATAGTTTTTCATTGCAAAGCTTGGGGAAATTTTTTACCCAACAGGTGAATCTGAAGAGGGTTGGGAGCAGGTAAGAAAAGAGAAACATACTAAATTTTAATTATTAAAAAATGACAAAATGCACAGAGAATCCAATGACATAAACTTGTTTATGAAACTTTTATGGCTAAAAAAAGCATAAATTTGGCAGACAGTGTGAAATAATTTCTATGTTACTATTTATATTTTTGTCTATGGGTAGAAATTTTAAGCTCTTAAAAGTGCTCATAATCATTGACCCAATATTTTCCCTGGCAGAAATTAAGCTGTAGAAAATAGCCATAGATGCAAAGAATTATGGAAAAATATCTCATTACATTATTATTAAATTACCAAAACCTGAAATCAACACAAATGTCCAGTATTGGTATCCTAACTTGTGATAGTTCTGTACAATGAAATATTCATTAAAATAATAATTACAAATAAAATAATTACAAACATGATAAATTGCTTATGCCATGATGTTATATAACACAATAAAAACATTGCATGTTTTTATATATTAACATAATTCTATAAACACCATAAAACTGAAAACTATATTTTCAAAAAGTTCTTATTGAGAGGCTTATGTGTAATTTGCATTTTCTTCTTTGTACCTTTCTGCAATTGAAAAGCAGAGGTTTTCCTATCAAACTAATGTCTGTAAGAAACTCAAAGATTGAAGTTGGAAAACTCACATTGTCTAACCTCCATAGGTATTCAAGGGTACAGCAATCAAAAAAGTGTGGCACTGGCATAAGGATAAACATACAGATCAATAGACATATAGACATACAAAGAGAAAAGAAGAGAGAAACTAGAAATAAACTCACATACACATGGTTAACTGGTTATCCACAGAGGTTCCTCGGTAATTAATTGAAAAAGGGATTGTGTTTTTCAATCAATATTGTCAGAACAATCTGATATCCATGTACCAAAAAACAATAATAACATTAACCATACTTCACTTCAAATATAAAATTGAATTTGAAATGTATTATATCCCTAAGTGTAAGGTAAGGGCATAGCATTTCTATAAGAAAACATGAGGCAAAGTCTTTGTGACAGTTTAAGCAAAGATGCATGATTCATAACATTTTCAAAAAGATAAATTGTACTTCAACAAAATTAAATACTGTTGTTCTTAGAATGATCCTCTTAAGAAAATGAGAAGACAAGCTACAAATTTTGTGAAATTATTTGCAAAGCATAAATCTCATGCAGATCTTGTACCCAGAAAAGTTTTGTATAGAGAATTTTTACAACTCAACAATAAGGAGACAAAAAGTTTATAAAAATTTGAAAAAAAATAAATACATCTTTTACATACATAAATAAAAAAGTAAGGAAAATTATCACATGAAATATGTTAAACGTAGTAAGTCATTAGGGAAAGATATAAAAACATAATGAGACACCTCTATATGCCTACTACATTGGTTAAATTAAAGACTGACACTATTAAATGCTCTTGAAGAGGTAGAGCAACTGAAATTTTCATACAGCGCTGATGGGAATATACTTTGAAAAAGTTTCAAAGTATGAAGTTAAACATAAATAGATCACATGACTTAAAATCCCACTCTTAGGTATTAAAAATGAAAGCAGGTATCTTTGAATATTCATAGCAGCTTTATTCATAATAGCTTAAATGTAAAAACAATTCAAATGCCCATCAGCTGGTGAATATATAAACAAATTGTACTGCATCCACAGACTGAAAAACTACTGCACATTAAAGAGAAAAAAGTACCTGAATATACAACAACATTAATAATTCTTATAAGCATTATGCTAAATGAAAAATGCCAGAAACAAACATCTACATATTGTATGACTCCATTTATATACATTCTAGATAAAGCAAAACTATAGAAACAGAAATCAGATAGCAGTTTTTGAAAGAAGTATAGTTAGGGGATCGGCTGCAAAATGGCATGAGGAGACTTTGCAGCTGATGGAAATATTCTATATATCTAATTTATAGTGAGTACATGGCTGTATATATCTGTCAGCTTCATCAGTCTACATATTAAAAGGGCAAACTTTACTGTGCTCTATATTATATCTCAATTGACCTGACTTAAAAAGAGAAATTTGTTTCTTCACAATAAATCTTAATAATAATGATGATACAGTTGTAATGAACATTTATCACATTACAATTTATAAATAAACTTCATGTAATACTTCTCCTGAATAGTTATTGCTGTGAAGGAGATAGCATTTTTTTAATCATTTTTACAGTTATGGACACTAAATGTTAGAAATTTTAGGTGATTTTTTTTCTAAAGCATACTAACTGTTATATGGAATAACTAGGCCTAAGATGCAGCCCTACTGAGACTCACTTAGAATGATAAGTGGAAGGAGCATGAATTTTTCACTAGTAAATATGTAAGTTTGAATCCCACAAATGCTTCTAAAATATACGAAAAATGGGCAGAATATATATAATCTTTCTGATCCTACTTAGCCAAATTTATTATCATTATTAAAGAGATGAGCTTTACAAAGTCTCTAGTACAGTGCTTAGGACTTATTAGGTGTTCTTTCCTTATTAGTTCCTGTTCTTCACCTTGATACTACACTACTCTTCCATTAGCCACTGTTGAACAAATAATCTCTCTTAATAGCACTGCCACCACCCAGTCATCCAACTTAGAGCCCTGATAGACAAATAGCCTCTACCCCTCCCACTTTAAGAATGTAACTTCATAGCAGGCAATGTTTGAAACTCTTTCTAAATATGTCTTGAGTTCCTCCTATGTTATCCTTTGTCTCCATAATTTCTCTAGTTAAAGCTCTTTTGTTTTTTCTTTTAGAGTTCTGAAATTGCTTCCTACCTAGTTTCCAGACTCTGAAAACTCTTTGTATTACTAGACTGAGCATCTTCAAACACAGATCTGATCATCATTCTCTTACTCATCACCATTTATTAGCTTGCCATGTACTGCTCATATGAATTTTAAACTTAGTAGCGCTGCATATGAAACTCTTCATGACCTGATCCTTCCCTTTGTCTTCAGCTTCCAAACCTAACTCTCTTACCACCGATATCCAGTCCTACAGAACTTGTGACTTATCACAGTGATACATGTTCATCCTAGGTCTGTCTTTACCCTAAGACATTTATTTCTCCCCCGTCTCCTGGGCTAAATCACTGTTGTCCCTTCATGACCAAATATTTTTCGACTCCAGAAAGGGTTCTCTGACTAAACAAAAGTATGCCAGTTTGCTCTTTTTCTGGGTTCACATAGCATTCTGTGCACAATTCTATTACGGAACTTAGGACTTCCTGTTAACATTATAAGTTGCCGCATTTATCTGCACCCACTTGTCAATAAATGCCTTGAGATTAGGAACAAAGTATTTCTCATGTTTTTAACCCCAGATTTTAGAATGACACTTGATTTAAACATATTGTTAATGAATAAATTAATAATATATGAAATTATTTCTGCTGTCTCCAAGTTTATTTGGTAAAAATGAAACTTCTGCACCCAATTGTTTTCATTGTCTATTTTTGCAACAACATAGGAAATAGTATGATCTTTTCTTTCTCTTTATATATTCAAGTCCTTTAATAATATTCATTATCTAAGAAAGGGGGTCAAGACACAGCAAAAATAAAATTAAACTTGATGTCGGAAAAAATATTAACATTTCTTGTTCTATAAAAAACCAGTTAAATATCTGAGTATTTCTCTTAGCTTCTCTATGTTTCAGCTTTCTCACAAACTAAGAGACAATCTCTGATGTTAATTCTAACTCCAAAGTGTTGCCATCTCTCTATTCTTTACTATTGTAAAGTCTAATAACCTTATTTTCTAGGACATGGTTTTAATTTTTCTATTCTTTCTTTTCTAGGCTACAGAATCTTTTTTTTGTAGGATTCCTAGTTACCTAAGATATAAAACACAATGTGTTGGCCTTCTAAATTCTGCTTTCTTCTCTAAGTTTGTAGCACACTATTGCTAAATCATTTTTGTGTCAATCTCTTGAAACTGTCATCTCTCTATTTCAGTGAGTCTCCTTTGCCCTCAGATCAAATACCGCTTCTCAATGTTACCTTCAAAATGTTGAAACTAGACATACTCTGTCTCCTTTCTTTTGTCTCCTTTTAACCTTATTCCTTACTCTGCTTTTCTTGGCAATCCCAACTCCTGTCTAGCAGCATTTTGGCCATGTTGCCCAGCACACCCCTGTTCCATCTTTCTATTCAGTTAAGTAAGGGTTCAGTACCTATCTCCTTCAAACACTTGTGTCCAATTAACCCTTTTTCTCCTTTGACCTCACAGGGCTCCTGAGAAACCAATCCAACTCAATGTAACAAGTAACTAATAATCTGGCAAAATACACATATTGTCAAGTTCATAGCACAAAATACAGTCATTTAAAGAAGAAAATTGCTTAAATATGAAATAAACCCAGAAACACCCAGGTCTTGGTCTCAGATTTGTTTTTACTCCTCCTGGAGGAAAGCTTATAACTTAAGTGATGCAGCACCAGACTCACCAAGCTTTCCAGCACTCCTGAGAATCTAGTAGGTGGAATCTCTACACGTGTTTAGCTATCTGATAAATGCATAGATTTCATGTGGGTGATCTTTACTTTCCAATTAAAATATATATATATAACCCTGTTCACTAATACTTTTAAAATTTTTTTAAAAATCAAAGAATATGAACTCTTCGGCAATGTGGCCAAAATATTTTCACATGTTAACAGCTGAAATGGGCTTGATACATCATATAGTTAAAAACTCACTGTTTTACAGATGAGGAAATTGAGGCATGCCAAAGTGAAGATATGTATTGAACCTCTCACTGTTTTTAAATAGAAAGCCAATATTAAGGCATTTTTCCAATGCTCAGTTTCACCACACTTTATAATTTTGGCTCTTGAATATGTTGTCAGAACACAGGCAGCCTAATCACATTATGGCAACTCTTCTTAAACTGATTTCTGAATACCATTGACAAACACTTGGTGGAAAAAGGCAAGGATAGCTTTATTATAACTAGCAGCCAACAGTACAAGGAACACTCCTGCACATCCGTATTTATGCCTTTCCTCATTACACCTGAGACTTCATTAAAGAAAAAACGTAATAAGATTTGTATTAAAAAAAAAATTCTCGATATTTCTTAGTCTTGCTGTCACAACTTTACTGATGAAGTAAACCGGTAAATTTTGAGGCTTAACTTTTAAGATCAGTAATAAATGCTATATTGTTATTAGAAAAATTATTTAGAGGTAGTTATAGAACATTTGAAGTACATATAAGTTTTGAATTCTAATTTTTTTGAGACAGAGTCTTGTTCTATTGCCTTGACTGGAATACAGTAGTAGCATTATGCTCACAGCAGCCTTGAACTCCTAGAGTCAAACAATTCTCCCATCTCAGCCTCCTAAGTAGCTGAGACTACAGGTGTGTGCCACTGCATCTAGCTAACTTTTAAAATTTTTTGTAGAGACAGGGTCCTGCTATGTTGCCCAGGCTGGTCTTAAACTCCTGGCTTTAAGTGGTCCTCCAGCCTTGGCTTCCCAAAGTGCTGAGATTACAGGCATGAGTCACCACGCCCAGCCTATAATTGTTTTTAATAGCTATTACTGTATAGAAGTAGTCTCATTAAGTGTTAATTAAATAATCTAGTGCTGTAGCTTGAAGATATGTCCCTAATATAATTTTTAATAATATAGGTAAAATGGACACCACAAATAACTCCTTTTATATTTCACACCTGCATATACTAGTGACAGAAATTTGCTATACTTTTCTCTATTATATCATCTTGAGAAACTTATCTAAGAGCCTGTTTTTTGTGTGGGATTTTTATCCCTGGTGTTCATAAAGTGAAGAAAACAGAAACTTGAAAGTTGTTACATTTTTAAATGAATTTGCATCCTTTAGTTATAACTGTAGCTGCTATTCACTCATTAGTTAGGCACCAGGCTTATCAGTTTATATGTGAGATAACATTTAATAATTGAAACAGCCTAGACATTTATTTTATTATGCAGATTAAGAACTTATCCCAGATCAAAGAGTTTGTATTTTTATTTGTCCCAGATGTTGCTTACTCCAAAAACCCATGATTTTGAAAAATAAAGTTACGTTAATTGATCATGCTGTATGTGCCTGGCACCAGTGCCAGCTCAAATGAGTGCGGAAGTGAACTAGGAAGTCTTGATCTTTACCATCCTCAAGGTTGCTACAGATATGAACATTTATCCAAAGAATCTTCTGTATTAAAAATAGTAAATGACATAATAATAGGAATTTTTTTAATCCTAAAGAGATACATAGATATTGGCAATAACATTTATACACAAGAAAGTTTAACTGTTTTGAAATGGCAAAAAATTTTTAAAAATTAGAAAAATAAGCTAAAATACATTCCTAAACATATAACAACATTCTACCCTTATAAAATATTATGAAAGGATATTTAATTACAAGGGCATAATTTATTAATTAATTCATTCAGAAATGTTTGTAAATATATATATAATACTTTGGACACGAATATAATATA
Source organism: Homo sapiens (assembly GCF_000001405.40). Taxonomy (NCBI): domain Eukaryota; kingdom Metazoa; phylum Chordata; class Mammalia; order Primates; family Hominidae; genus Homo; species Homo sapiens. The sequence continues at coordinate 105,312,960 of NC_000011.10, forward strand.
TATATTTTAGCATGATTGTATGTGGACCTAACTGTTTCTTTAAAAGGTGTTTCATGTCTCTGTAAAGTCTCAAATTTAAATATTCTTCTAAATGATTTTATAAAGTTATCTGCTAACCACAAATATACAATAAGCAGTAACTGTAACTATAGCAATTCCTCAGGGAACAAACATATTTTTAGATCTCTACATTAGAAATAGCATATTTGAAATACTAAGTCTTTGGTAATCTCTGAATAAAAATTACACATATCAAAATTTTAATACATTATTTTCTTTTGTAGAAAAAGATTATGTACATTTTTTATTTTATGAACCCACACATAATAAATATTTGCACCTTCATTAGTCATGAAACATTGATGTGATATAAAGAGTTTCAAACCAGAAAGACATATGACCTAAATTTAAATTTGGGAATTATACAATGGCTGGTGGTATTTTTCAGACTCTTTTCATTAAAAGGGAAGGAGCATAATACTTAATTTGTAAATTGATGACAGAAATTTCAAGAATTTGTTAAAGAACCTGGCATATGATAGACACTCAATCAAAATAATCCTAGGAATAACTATAGTGCACAGTTGAGTGTCTTTACAGATGATCAATAAAAGTTAACAATTCTTAACATCAAAGCATGAATGAATTGTGTTCTTAATTCATTCATTCATTCATTTGAATGCCAACTACATTCAACATCAAGCTTATTCCAATCCCTGGGCTACAATAGTCCCTATACCTGAAATGTTCCTTAAATATTCAAAAGTCTGACTGTATCTTCCTTGACAATCCTTAAAGGGTAGCATCCTTTTATTCTCTGTTCCCTTGTGCTGTCATTGTCTGTCTGACAGTTTATCATTTATAACATTTGCTTATCTCTGTTGTATGATTTCACTATACAGATGTAAGCTTTACAAGGTCTGAAGCTTATTTATATTGTTTACGGCTATACAATCAGTACTTTGAATTGTGTCAAGCATATTACATATATTTTTTACAGGAAATCTGAGGTCTTTATCATTATCGTCTTTCAATACATAATATGTCTTTCATTCTTCGGGATACTTTTAAGATTTTCTCTTTATTGATGATTTTGAAAATGTTTTATTATGCTGTATCTTGATGTCATTTTATTCATGTTCCTTATGCTTTGATTTCATTGAGCTTTTTGGTTCTGTGGAGCTATAGTTGTTTCAAACAAATTTGGAATAATTTTGGCCATTATTTGCTCAAATATTTTCTCTGTCTATCTCTCTTTTTCAGGGAACACAATTGCACATATATTACATTTCTTGAAGTTGCCCCACAGCTCTCCAACGCTCTGTTTATTATCCTTAGTTTTCTGTTCTCTTTGTGTGGCATTTTGGATAGATACAATTGCTATGCCTTCAAGTTTACTAATCTTTTCTTCTGCAATGTCCCATCTGCCATTAATCTCATTGTTTGAATTTTTCAGCTCACAAATTACAGTTTTGACAGAAATATACTTTGGGTCCCTTTTTGTCTTCCATGGCCTACTTAACTTTTCATACATATGAAATAGAGTTATCAGAACTATTTTAATATAGTTGTCTTTTAATTTAACATCTGTGTCCATTAAGCCTTACTTTTGACTGATTTTTCTACTCCTTAGGGATCATATTATCTTGCCTCTTTGAAAACCAGATAATTTTTTGGTTAGCATTGCCAGACATTGGCATTTTTACTTTGTTTGTTGAAGGATATTTTTGTATTAAGTATCTTTAATTAGTACTTTATATTTCATATAATAAACCTCAAGCATATATGTGTCTGTAAGGGCATGTGTATGTGTATGTCTTTGTCTATATATTCTCGGGCTGTATTCTACTTAGGATATTGTAATATATATGTATATGCCATATATAGATATACACATATTATAATATCACATGTATATACACAGATATACACATATTACAATATCTTAACTAGAATACAGCTCAAAAATATACTGACACTATATATATACACACATATATACAATATGTAAAGTAATAGTGTACAAAAATATTTGTCATCATGTGATAAAGAAAATGATCCTTGAGTATATATATAGCGTGTGTACATATATATATAATCCTCTAATATGTATAGTATATTATTCCTATAGTGTATACATTATATACTCTGTATATACTCCACAGATCCTATAGTATATAATATATATAATATCCTATTCATATTTTTCAGCTTTATTCTAGGATAAAATTGAGAGATTTGGACGTAGTTTGATCTTATCTGGCCTTGCTCTTAGGATTTGTAAGGGAGAACAAGAGTAGAGCTCAGTCTCAGGATAATCTTTCCCCACTACTGAAAAAAGATTCTTCTGTGTACTCCACATGATGCTCTGTGAATCATGAGGTTTTCCATCATAGCAGGTGGAAATAGACCACAGTTCAGCCTTATTTGAGTGCCAGATACTCTTCTCTATAAGCCTTTCGAGTGTTTACTTTCCTAGCCTCAGAGAGTTTCCCCATACAGGTAATACTGATCATTACACAGCAGAATACTCAAGGGGGCCCTCTACAGATCTCTGGAGTTCTCCTTCTATGGAGTTCTCTCCTTTCTGGTGCTCTGTCCAAATTCTGGCAGTCTTAGTCTCTCTGGACTCCCATGTCCATATTCTTCACTCACAGAGCTCACCAAGCTCTGTCTCGACTTTCCCTTCTCTGCAGCACAGTATAGGAGCTTACTCAATGCAGTAAAACTAGCATTCAACGAATTGACTTTAGTTGTTTCCCATGTCTTAAGGATCATTGCCTTCATCATGTGATGCCTAATATTTTGTACACTATTACTTTATGTATTTTGTCTGTTCTCAGTTGTTTCAGGGAAGAGTACAGCTGTTCTTCATTACTCTAAATTGACCATAAACGGAAGTCCTATCAATAGGGATTGAAGGCAGGGTGTAAATACATCAACCAAGGTCCACTGTTTTCCAGTTCTGATCATGATTCTTCTGTCTACAAGGCAAGTTTAACAAGGAGATTCTTTATTCTATATTCAGGAATACATTCACGTGTTTCCTGGGTTTTGTTCAGATGGAGTCTGGTATGGTTTCCCACACCTTGCACTGTTCTGTGTTCAGACACTACCAGTCTGCTCTGATTGGCTTCCTTTGTCTTACTCCTTTTAAGTTTATTAAATTCTAGCCACTAACCAGGACAAATAAAAGGCTTTGTACACCAGTTCCTCATAGGAGAATACACTCCCCATCCAAATCCATTGAAATAAACAAGTTTCTTGTTTTCTCCCTGAACTGGTAAGATTTTTATTGGAAATTAAATATTTCAGACTTTATTCAATTTTTAAAATTTCCTACTTTCTCACTTGCTCATTTGAGCATCCTAACCCTTTGGGGTGTGTTAAAGTACAAGTCACTAGTATTTAAAACCTTATTCTGTGCATTTCAAAACACACCCCACTCCCATTAAATACAGAGTTTATGGTACTAAATGTACCCTTTTCTTTTCAGGTACCTGAGAATTTCATTTTCTTTATTGCAAGGTTAATTAAATGTTGGCCTCAACCTCTAAATTCACTTTTGTCCAGCATATCTAGGTTATCATGGTTGAAAGGAGTTTGGAATTAATAGCCCATGAAAGTTTTATTTATATGTCTGTGTATAAATATTTTGCTTAATTTTTACTGAATGTAAAGTGTCCACACATATCAGTCATGTGTCTCCACAGCAACAAAATTCTCAAATATTTCAAAATAAATAATAACACAAAGTCTACTGACTAAGAAGTTTACAAACATGGATGTATAACTGGTTTGTGTGTGTGGGTGCAAGTGTATGATCTATGAAACTATGCTTTATTTTGAAATGTTAATTAATAATTCATGAGGAAAAATAAAATTCAGTGAGAAATTATATATGTAAGTTAACAAAGAAAGGATGGAACTAATTTTATCGATTTGGCAAATGTTTAATTTTTTAATATCAAATTAATTAAAAACCAAAGAACATAATTAACTGTTGAAACTAAATTAAGTGATATGCATTATTTCTAAATAGAAGCTGAAGAAATATGAACTGAAGCCAAGAAGCAAAATAGATTCCAACCTCAGACAAATACAATCCAGTGGATTGTAAAAGAAATGTGATTTTAACTAGATATTAACAAAATAGGACTAGAGACAAAAAAAAACTCTGGTGGTAATAGACCAGAAAAAGAAACCCAAGCCTAAAAAACATTCAACGAATTTTACCTGGTGATAAAAAGATGACGTGAGGCAATTTTTAAGTGAGCAATAAACCACTCAATACCTTACAGTTGAATAATTCAGTTTTAATAAAAAAGGAATCCAATAAATCAAGTTCTTATAAAAGATACAAACATACAAATATAAAACATTAATTTCAGGTTTGAAAAAAATTCAAATTAACATGCTCATTTCTCCTACATGTAGTATGTACACAGAGATATATTTTGTTTTAAATATTTAAATGTAATAGTGAACTATGTAGGATTCTAAGCTATTGCTTTTTCACCAAGTATTTCTTATAGTGACTAATTTTTTCCACCAAGCTTTTCGAGATCATAAATAGGACCACCTGTGAGTTTCAAGCTCTTACATGGTTCCCCTAAACATGGATACAAAGTCATTTTACAGAAGATTTAATAGCTCACATGGCATTTGGTTTAGTCTTTTCTTTAGAATTTGACATAAAACTAGTAGTACTAACGTTTCTAAAAAAAGCAAGCAGAAATATGAATTTATTAAAATAAATAAGACCCAAAAATAACTATATATAAAAGTAAAGGAAAATATTATTTTCTTGAATAACAGCAGAAAGTAAAATTAAGATGTGTATATTGAACGTAAAAATGCTTTCTCTTTTGAGTTAATCCTCATAGCTACTCTGCAAGCCCTCTTTAATATTTACCGATGTCTTTACAGCTCATGTTTGACATAGAAACCCCACTTCCAGGAAAGTACAATAAGAAAATAATCAGTGGTGGCTGCAAGATCTGTGAAAGATAATATCCAGTTTAATACACAGTGTTTATAACAACAATTTTGAAAATAACCAGGATATTAGACATTTTAAATAATTAAAAATTGATTTAGAGTCATGAAGGCAACCCAGGTCCAAAAGAAAGCACACAGGTGAAAATAGCCCATTGGAGGTCCCGCTTGGGCCAGGAGGGCATCTTGCAGTGAGTGACCTGGAGCAGCTAAGCTCCACAGAGTGCCTAGACCTGGGCAGGCAGGGTCCCTGCCTTGGGCACACATTGCAGGGTCCCTGCCTTGGGCACACATTTCAGGGGCCCTGCACATTGGAATGGCTTTTTTTGCATGGAAAGACAGGATCTGTAGCCCTAGGCCAGCAACTGTGTAAGCCTGTTCCTGTTTCTGCCCTTGGAGACATTCTAACCTTTTATGCCTTCCCAGTCCCACAAGAGATTGAGTAAACGCCCCGAGGACCACGAAGACTCCTGCCTATGGGATGGTTTCTGGCCCCATAACTTCTCCATGGTTTCAGAAAGATGACTGGCAAGGATCACTCCCACTGGCAGGGGCTGTATTTCTTTTAACAGAGAGCAGAAGATTGGTGTGCAGGAAAGATGCTGAGATACTGAGTTCTTTCTTCTCAACAGAGGAGAGTTCAGGACTTTGGGCAACGGGCACAGTTCACGGGCTATAGCCAAATGTGTGACCAGTATGCCTACTCTTGCCCTTTTGGTATCCCGTTGCTGTGCTGCCTGTGGTCTGCAGGTCCTGAAGGCTGAGAAGATGGCAGTAGTCATCCTGTTCCTGGGGAGTTTACTACCACTGGTACTCTTCACAGGTTCCCCATCATATGTCAGGCAACCCTCAAGGCATGTCTCAGCTTATCCTTGGAGGCTTTACATGACCATCTACAACTTATTTCAATCAATGTGCTCCATTACCACTGATTTGCCAATGATATGCTTTTTTCTATGAGTCTAAGCCATACCAAAGGAAAGATAAATATTCCCTGTGCAAATGAAATCACTCTTTTAGCTCTGCCTAGGAACTCTTGCCTACTCTGCCACCTAGTACTATTGCCTGGAGGGTAGGAAGGTAGGGAATGTGGTCAAAATTGAAAGAGATTATATTCTATGAATGCAATAATAACAGAGTTCAAGAGAAGATAGGTTGAAGGATGTGCTGTTTGACATCTTTACTATAAAATTATGTATGGTAAAGTCAACATAATCAGAAAATGAACTATCATTCACATTTTGTCTGAATACTGCAGGCAAAACTCGCATTTATAGTCACTATCAATGAAACATAGTAATAAAAAATTTTGGAAGAGTCACTGGAAGCCAAAGTTCATGGACTGCAAGGTGGATGATGCAGTGTCATGAGAAATAATATAATCAGTGATAAATAATTGTTATTAGGAGACTGCAGGAGGAAGATTATTAATATCATTTCAATACAGATAGGTTCAGAAGGCATTACAAGTAATAACAGCACTGCTGTTATTTTCAGGGAGATATTAGCCAGGAATGGTACATTTGACAATACAAAATAGAAAAAGCTGGTTTCTGGATCTGTACAGAAAGCGATAGTGTCTAGACATCATGAATATTCACATGTACTGATCTGACAATAAACAAATACATATACGCTTCTACTCATTTTTCCAAACATTTATTGATATGCCTCCATACTTTACATGAATCTGTAAGTTTCTAAATCATTTTAATCAAAACATTTATAAAGACAAAAGCCACGAAAATATTTTTCTGGGACCCCACAAAACCTGTTGATGGCCTTGTTGCTACACATAGGGTGGCTAAGGCAAACAAACAAAAAAAGCTATATTGAGCACAATGGGATCCAGGCTTCTTAACCCTTGGAAAACAGAAGTACAAATAGGTGAAGAGGCACATCTAGAATGAACTCTGCATTGTTGCACTACAAATAGGGTTACTGGTATAATCACATGGGTTTAACTGTATAAAGATAGAAATATGGATATGGATAGAGAGATGGATGTTTATAACGTAAATATGTGCACATACAAATATATATTTATTCCAGTCCTGTACTTTGTGAAGGCACCTGAAGAGCAACACATCAGTAGTAATGAGCACACCTAGAATATAGATCTTGGTTGCTAATTATACTCTCCCCTGAAAGAATCCAGAACTTTTTGAAAAATGGTTGATCCAGGGATGGGACAGGGAAAGTAAAAGATGAACATACAACAACTCCATCAGTGAGAAACACTAAAAAATGATGGAGACATGACAACAAAAAGACACAGGAGTTACATGAAAGAAGCTCAAACAGCCAATTGTAAAGTAATTTCAGGAGAAAACATGTAATGATAAGAATGGATTATAATGTCAAATAAATGAGGAATCCACAAATAAGTAAATAAATAACCGGAAGAGGGGCAAATACTCTTTCTGACAATAAGATCCAGCTAACAATTATAACTAAATGGCAGAATCAAATAATCACTATTGGGAAACGATATAAAAAGTTTAAGCAAGGAAAATAAAATCAATAGATGCTAAAATGCTGGGAGACAGTGGGATAAGAACAGGATTGTATATAGCCTGAAAATATTTCTTTACTTTTATTAATAATTAATATGTTGTAATATAAAATATTACAAAGGGAAAACATGTTTATTACACATGGGGAAATGTAACTTTATAGTCTATCAGATTTCATCTTAATGATTGAATGATGAAAATAAGACTACTAGTAATGGGACGCATCAACATTATCTGGCACCTGGTAGGATGCAGTGAAGGAACACAGTATCACTTCTGTGATATACTGGAGGATATTTCCTCTGGATTGGACTTAGGTCCAATCATGAGGAAACACTGAACAAAGACACTTGGTTGACAGAAACCTAAGAGGAGATTGTTCTTGATGCAAGACTGAGAGTTACATGCAATACTGCTCTCTATGATGTAAACAGAAACAATGGAAGATAATCAATGTTCTGCGTACTTCCAACAGCTCCTCTGTTTTTCTTTTTATGCTTTGTCACCTTTGGGTCTGGGGAGTTTCTCCCTTTCTCTCTCTTAGAGCTAAGCCCTACTGTTAATATATTCATCTTTCTCCCTTGGGACTCTATTGTCATCGTCCTTTATTTCCCTGTGACATGAGTTAATAAATGTTGTCCTGTCAAAGTAAGCATGTAGATTGATACGTGTGCAATGGTCATTCCTCAGGAGACCAAAGCAATTTTGGTCTGACTCAATGACATCTGACAGAAACATTTAGCAGATCTAAGTCAGGTCTTATTGAAAATAGGAGTTCAGGAATCTGTCTCTTGCTGGAGAGGAAAGAGGGAAATTAGCTGAGTGGACATGTGTAAAATTCTCAAGGAATAATAGAGACCTAGGAAGTTACCTACATTAGCAAAAATGGAATGACATTTAAAAGATAGCACTGGTTCTCTAATTTTGTGTGGCAAATTATCACTGGCAAGCTTTAAAACAATGAATTTACTAGGTTCCACTTCCTAAAATTTTGATTCAGTAGGTCTAGTTTGGGGCTTAGAAAAGTTTTATTATTATCAAGTTCTTAATAGATTCTTTTCCACATTAATTAGAGAACCAACACTATAGCAGTATCTTGCAAAACTCATTCTGCTATTGTTAGTATTGACAACTGCTGCTGTTAATATAAATAACTTTCCTGGTCTTTGTAATTTCTTAAAAGATATTTGACCCTCTACAACGTTTCTATTTAGTTAATTTCTCTACTTCCTCGTCAAGACAAGCAAAACAGCTGGGTGTGCAGAGCATGGACCACACTCTGAAAGATATTGAATTATTGGATTAAAAAGTTCATATATCTATATTAAAAATGGAATATATATAATGATATATAATACTCACTTATATATGTATAATATGATATATGTAATAGTCATAATTATATATAATAATCACTTTTTAATATGGATATATGCACTCTTTAATCCAATAATTCAATATATATTAAATAATATATATATTCAATTTTAATATATATATATTAGATGATTATATAGACAGATATATAGATAGCACATTGCAGATCTCGACACAGTGGGAAAGCTGTTAGTTGTACCCAGTTTAAAATTGGTTTCCAACAGACAAATATATGAGATCAAGTGCAGACCTTTCTACGAGGTCTTCTCTTGGAATGCCCCCTTCCTCTGGCATCTGTTCCTGGGAAAATAGTTTGTTAGAACATCCAGCTTCCAAAGCTTCACTTACCCGCTCCTTTTCACCTATTTTCTACCATACCATTAGTGCACAAGATTTATTTAGTTAACATTTTCACAAACTGACTTGTCTTCTTCAACTTTGTGACATCATTATCTATCACAGTGCCTGATACATACAAGATATCCTCGAGTTATATGTTAAACTAAAAGAACCACTTGTGTCTATTTTATGTTGTTATGCACAAAGTTAGCTTAAAATTGCACAAAGTTACCCTAAAACAACAAACATTTATTATCTTACTGTTTCTGTGGGTCAGAAATTTTGCATAATTTAGCTGGGTCCTCTGCTCAGGTTCTCGTGAGGCTGAAATCACAATGTTGACTCAGTACATCCTTATCCTGGAAATTCAGTTAGGGAAAGATCAACTTCCAAACTCCCTTAAATTAGTGAAAAATTTATTTCCTTGCAGTGAGTTGACAGAGGTCCCTATGTTCTTGCTCTGTTGGCTGGGATCTGTCCTCAGCTCTCAGAAACTGCCCATAATGTCAGGCCACATAGGCTTGTCTCTTATACTTTGAATCTCTCTAATTCTTGTCTCTCATATCTAAATTCTTTTTTTAAAATAAGGATCACCTGATTTGGTAAGGCCCACCTGAATTTATGGAGGCGATTATACCAGACAATCTTAATAGTCCAATAATCTCTGGAGCTATCTTAGAATTCTGCCTGCCACAACCCTTAATAAATTAAGATCTCAGAATATTCATTCTAATTCATACGTGGTTCAATTTTATGTGCAGCTCAACATTCAAACACTTTATTATCTATTATGTATATTCAGACAAACAATCAACCATGGCAATTTGATTAATGAACTGTTTTCCAAGTCATTTTTTTTTTTACCCAGGGCTGGAAAATGTCAAAGTCTAGTACTATTTTAAAACTATGGCAAGAAAAAAGTGACTGTTAAAGATTCCTTCTATCTTAAATAAGATAATGGGGAGAAATTGATGCCTGACATTGCCCTTTCCTCTGTTTGTGTAGATCATAATAAAGTAGCTAACTTAAAATGACTGCTTGCTTTGACCAGGCATTGTGCTATTGCATACATTATGTATTCAATTTTAAGTGAATCATGTTAAGCTTACTATTACTGTCCCTATTTTACAGATCATGAAGCCTAATCTAAGAGAGATGTTTAATATATATTTTGAGTCTTTTCCAAGAAACATTCCTCTTTAGAAAAAGAGATATGCCTAACTCATAATGAAATGAGTTTCTATCCATACATCTGTTTTTTTCTTACCATTCTTTATGTTCCTAGAACTCGTATTTGAGATTATTTGTTAAAGGAACTAAAATAATAATCTTTTTCTCTACTGTGCCTTTAAATATATGTTTCAAAATAGACTATTGTATCAGCTCTAGAAATGTACAATTGAAGGTAACCTTTGTAAAACAATAAAGATATCATTTTGTTCCTGAAACTCAGTAATATATTCAATATGACACAAAGGAATTCACAGCATGTTACTACCTTAAACAATTCTCAGAAAATAAATGTATAAAACCCAGATCAATTAGTAAAATTAATAATATTTCACTAAATTAAAACATTGAATTTTGAGTGTATATAATTAAATAGGCATAAGTAATTTAAAAAATTAAACAATTTAATTCTCTCATAGGTGTGCCTTTTAATATAAAGGTGGAAAAACTACTTTGCTAATAAATATAAATATGCATATACATGCAAAAATAATGTTTCTTGGGCTATATGTTAAATAATTGGGGACTAGAGTGAAGAGTACTTGATTCTATGTGTAAGAAATTTTTATTTTGCTGTATTGAACAAAAGTATATTTATGTAAAATTTAGTAAAAAATACTTTGCATGAATTGTGTATATAAAAGCTTCACATGAGCTATGTCTCACAGAAAAAATTAAAATAGGCCAATATATAAATCAGGATCCCATTACTACTCCTGTTATAAAAAATTACTTAAAAACTTAAGTAAGATTTTTATTTGAACATTGCTAATAAAGATTTAGGTCCTGCCCTCATGCTCTTTACAGAGAAGTGAGGGAAATAAGACATGTCTGCAAATGAGTAATTTGAGATAGGAAGCACTGACGACTCATTTAACAAGCAATTCTCAAGCACCTGCATCAGGGAAACACTCCGCTAAAGTGCTTGAGTTAAAGCAGGCAGCCTCCGTGTTTTTGAGAAAAAGGATGATAGGTAAACCAAACCACAAGAGGACAGATTAATGGCACCCACTGGGGTAGATACCATTTGCTAAGTGAAGCTGAAATGTGTGTACGTGAAGGTAAACAGTGCGTATTTCAGTCTGTGTCCCTTTATCGAGTCACAGACTTGATAAAGATTCATAGGTTGGCCGGGCGCGGTGGCTCATGCCTGTAATGCCAGCACTTTGGGAGGCCGAGGCAGGCGGATCAGGAGGTCAGGAGATCGAGACCATCCTGGCTAACACGGTGAAACCCCATCTCTACTAAAAATACAAAAAATTAGCCAGGCGAGGTGGCAGGCACCTGTAGTCCCAGCTACTCGGGAGGCTGAGGCAGGAGAATGGCGTGAACCCAGGAGGCAAAGCTTGCAGTGAGCCGAAATCGCGCCACTGCACTCCAGCCTGGGCGACAGAGAGAGACTCCGTTTCAAAAAAAAAAGGTTCATAGGTTGATGAGCATTACATGGGACATGTCAAAGAGCTCTGAGTTGTAGAAAAAAGGGTAAAAATCACATCTTGGAGGAAAGAAAGCAAGTTTCTGGAAGATTAAAAATCATAGCTTTGAGTCTGTATTCTCAATACATTTAATCAGATGCACACAGAGCACTGACTGCCAGGCACTGTTCTAAGAGCTTTCAAATATTAACTCATTTAATGTGCTAAACAGTCTTAGAAGGTTTGCAGAAGACACTAATAAGCTGTTGAGCTGCAGTGTGTAGACTTGAACCCAGGTACTTGGATTCCATAGTTCATGTATTTAAACACTAAGTATATTACCTTCTCAGTATAAAGCAAGTGAAATGAAATGTACTAGGCTTTAGGGAAGATTTAAAAATTTGTTTCAAAAGATATGATCAAGTGTGCTCCTTTCTTCTATCTACCTTCCAAATAATTCAGCAAGCAAAGAAAAATACTCCTTGACAAATGCAAATAAGGTTTCTCCTTGCAACCTTTTCAAAGGCCCTATGTGCCATGTAAACAATGTAACCTATGCCTTTTCGACGCTTATCATAAATCAGTGGCCATTGCAAAAACACACTCCAGCACACGGCTTCACATCTTTCCTGGCCTTGTTGTCCCCCTTTTCCCCCTTATCCTCACCTTTCTGTGAATAATGTGTATGCACTTGCCTCAGAACTCAATGAACTTAAAGAACCCTGATGAAGACATAGGGCAGGAGGAACTACGAGTCAGCCAGGGAGTTCCTGAGGAAGAGCTACTTACCACTACTTACTACTACTACTAATAATAAAAAGATGCACCAGAAAAATATGACTCTACTTTGCTGGACTTCATGGAATCTGCCCGTGATGCCTAGATCTGCTGCAGCCACTCTGTGACACGGAGGAGTGAAAACATGTACCTGCTAAAGATGGCTGAGAGGAAAGACAGAAAAACATCTGGATCTTTAAGCTACTGAATTAACCAACTCTAGAGCCTTCTACCTCCAGACCTCTTGCCTGGGAAGATAAAACACCCTTTAATACATTACTATGATTATTTCAAATTGCCTATTATTTACAACCCAAAAAACATACTAGTTGACACAAGAAAGAAAGCTAACTAATTTTTACATTAACCCTCATTTTTACAGATGAAGAAACCTAAAGACCAATGATTTGTCATCCAGAGTCACAGAACCAGTCACTGATAGGTATAGCTAGGATATAAAAGTCCAGGTCTGCCGAGCTCCTAAACTCGTTCACTAACCACAGATAAAAAATAAAAGTAAAACAAACAAACAAAAAAAAACTTGTAAACAACACCTGCAAAACACTTGGCACAGTGGTTACTTCATAAATACTATTTTAAAGAATACAGTTAACGGGAAGTTAACCATTTTAAGATTACCTCAAAGCCTAGTTGTGCCTGGGGTGAGATGGGAAGAGACCAGTTTCCATAGATTTATACACTGAGCACCAAAGTTACCTGCAGAACAGGGAAGTTGTCGGGGACAACTTTCTAACAGTGACAGCTAGACATGGTAATAAGAAAAACCTCAGCTTCATTCCTTCCTAAGCAGGCCCCTAAAGGCACTGCTTAATGAACTCCTTCATCAAGAAGGACTCGACAGAAATAATCTTTCATATGGATGCCCCTTCAAGCTAGTCTCCAACTTAGCTGTTCCAAATTCTTACAAGGAAAAAAGCAAGCATTCATAGGTTCCTCACAACAAACCTGTACAACAGGAATTATAATGCCTATTTTACAGATGAGAACAGTGGGGTTTAGAGAACACAGCCCAAGGACATACAGCAGCTATCACAAACTTGACCCAAGGAGAGGAGGAAGGGATAAAAATAATGGAAAAGAGATGCTTCAAGCTGGCAATAAAAGCATCACTTTCAATCCATACTTCCCTCTGGATGGAGATTAAACCATGTGAAGTATGCAGAGATAAGCACAGTGGCTGGAGCATATCAGGCTCAAGATCCATTCCCTTTGCTCTCTGACTCTCCCAGCCTTTCCCCCTCTGGCTTCAGCAGACCAATCAATCAGAGGATTAAGAGTGAACCCACCCTATGGCTAGGGCTCAAGGTGTACCAGAAATCCTAGATGTTGGACTTAAACTGAATCAGAAGGTAGTGTTTGCATAAAAGACAGTAGGTGTGTAGAAGAATTATTCACAATAGCCAAAAAGACTATCAACAGATGGCCAAATCTGCTGAATATGATATATACACACAATAGAATATTTTTTAACCATCAAGAGGAATGAAATACTGACTCATGCTACAAAATGGATGAATGTTGAAAACATTATGCTAAATGAAAAAGTCAGACACAGAAGTCTACGTGTTGTATGATTTTATTTATATGAAATATCCAGAATAGGGAATGCCATAGTTGCCAGAGGCTAGGAAGAGAAAGACGGAGGAGTGGCTGCTAATAGTTTCCTTGTGGGTAATGAAAATATTTGAAACTAGATAGAGGTGATGGTTGTGCAACATTGTGACTATCCTAAATGCTACTGAATTGTACACTTTAAAATGGCCAATTAAAAAGAAACCTCATTAGATTTGGACATCCAGATCATTATATTTTCCACTTATTTAAACATATCTATCTATCTATCTATCTATCTATCTATCTATCTATCTATCTATCTATACACACACACACATATATACACACAGATATATATATAATGTATATACACACACACACACACATACATGTATTTTATTTACTATGACTTGGACACTATTATTGCAAAATATGTTAAATAGAATGACAATTTTTACTGATGTCTGATCTTTTCACAAGTCTTTATGATTTCTCAAAACACATAAAGTAATTTTCTGATTATACGGGCCAGTTTCAATTATCCTGAGATACGTTTTTGGTGCCTATAAATGTGAACTTAGTGTGGCACAATTGTTATTCCCCAGTATAATGCTTGGTTTACATTTCCTATTTATTTACTTATCCAATAAACATGGGCAACTACGCTACATTATGGAAAGTGCTGGAAACATAAAAACATTGACACACCCTCAATGGATATTGTATACATATGGACAGATAGACAAAATATTACATTATAATACAGTCCAAGCCATAATAGAAGTGAAAATAGGCTACTTTACAATCAATGAAATCTTTATCTTAGCCAGACCAAGGGGTCAATTACAGTTTTTTGGTAAAGGTGTTATCTGAGTTTATAACTTTTGAAAGAAAAAAAAAAGTTTTGACACAGCCTTGAACTTCTTGGCAAAATTGGAAGCTGACAAACTAAAACTTCCTCATCTTTCCACAATCAAAATTGCATAATATGAAGCTACACTCTCAGCTTTCTTTCTGGTTACTAAGGAAAAATGTACCTTGCCCCGACTGAGGGCTAAGCCCTTCACTTAAATTCTGGATCACATGCTTTTCCTTTTTTTTTTTTTTTTTCCTTTTACAAGGACTTTGTGCCTTCAACTATAACCTTTCTCAGTTACCATGCAACCTGAGATATTCATCATGAACTGAGTGTTATGTTGCCCAAGAAACAAAAGTTGGAAATTAAATAGTAACATTTTCATCAAATGGAAATGGTATAAAGGGGATCAGGCTTGAGCGGGACCTAAAGGCACAAGCAAGCTGAACAAGAAAGTAGCTCAGACATCCATGGTCATTACCCATGGCATTTTGCCTTCTCCCTCTACTTGCATTTATAGGCTTATGGGAAGTTTCCAATAACTAATTGAAAGGAGAACAGAAAACACAGTCTTGGTTTACAGGTGATTCTGCATGACATACTGACACACAGGCACCCCTCAAAAGTGGATGGTGACAGCCCTGCAACCCCACTCTGGGACAGCTCTGAAAGATAATGATAAAGGAAATCTTCACAATGGAAAAACTTCTAGCAGTGCACCTAGCTGATCTTTTTTCCTGGAAGGACAGATGACCAGAGGTGCAGGTCTCATCAGTTCATGAGCTGTGATAAACTAGTTTAGCTGGCTGATCAAGGCTTGGAAGAAATATAATTGTGAAATTGATAAGAAAGAGTACTAGAAAAGAGGTCAGTGGGTAAATCTCTTTGAAGGGAAACAGAAGGGGAAGATATTTGTGTCCCATGGGAATCTTTACCAAAGAGTGTCCTCAGCAGAGGAGGATTTTCATTATAAAGTAGATGAAATGGCACAATCTATGGGTGTCAGTCAACTTCTTTTCAAGCCAGTCCGGCTATTGTTCAATGGGCTGATGAACAAATTGGCCATGGCCATGGCAACAGAAATAAAAATTAAGCATGGGCCCAACAATCATGAACTTCCACTATGCAAGCAGGTCTGTGCATAGTCTCTGCTGAGTGCCCAATATGCCAACAGCAAGATTAGCACTGAGCTCCCAAAATGGCACCACTCCCAAGGTGGATCAGCCAATTACCTGGTGGCAAGTTGAGTACATTGGACTGTTTTCATCCCGAAGGGACAGTGTTTTATTCTTACAGGAAAATACCTTTAATCTGGACAAAAATCTGCTTCCTGGATTGCAGTATTTCTGCTAAAATCAGCATCTTAGAAATTATAAATTTTTTTCTCCACTAGCATGGTATTCCACACAGCATTAGTGCTGATCAAGAGCAATAAACTAATTTCACAGCAAAGGAAATGTAGCAATAGGCCTATACTCACAGAATTCACGGCCTTTACCATGTCTCTCATCCTCATGAGGCACTGTCTTCATGGTATGGCAAGAGATAGGGGACAGATACTATCTTTCAAAGTTGCAATCCCGCCCTCTAGGATGTGGTATATGCTGTAAGTCAGCTTTTAGTGTTTTTCCATAGAAAGTATTCACAAGTCAGGGAATTAAGGGATAAAAATTGAATGGTACCTATTCTTATTTCCCCCAGTGATTGGTAATTTTGCTTTCTGGCGAAAGCTGAGACTGCTACCCAAGCATTTTAAGTTTCTTATGCCACTGAGTCAACAGGCTAATGGTAGCCAGGCCTGGTGGTGCACAACTGTAATCCCAGCTACTCGGGAGGCTGAGGCAGGAGAATCTCTTGAACCCAGGAGGCAGAAGTTGTGGTGAGCTGAGATTGCGCCATTGCACTCCAGCCTGGGCAACAAAAGTGAAACTCTGCCTCAAAAAAAAACAAAAACAAAAACAAACAAACAAACAAAAAAACAGGCTAGCCAGAGATCTGGGATCATTGATCCTATCAGATTGAAATGAAGTTTATACTACACAATCAATGGAAGTAAGGAAGAGTAAGTTGGAATGTAGAACATCTTGTAACATGTCTCTTATCTATCCCATGTCCTGTAATAAAAGTAATGGAAAACTAAATAACACTAAACACATCTAAACAAGTCAGGCAGGTCTACTATTGACCCAGAACATTCGGAAATAAAAGTTTAAATTACCTGACCAGGTAAAGAATTACAACAAGCTCAGATGCTTGCTGAAGCCAATGGAAATATGGAATGGGTAGTGGGAAAAAAGTAGTTATAAAAATAGCTACAAACATGTGACCAGCTGCAGAAATGAGGATTTTGACTTCTTAAAACTTTCATATTGATATGTTTCTATCAAATATTTTGTTTATTCTCACTCCTCTCCTTATCATCTGACATAAAATGTGTTCGTAAGAGTTAACTTTATGTGTGCCAACAGCAAAGATCAACATTGAGCTCTCAAAATGGAGGGTGCATGTGTGTGTGTGCACGCATGCGTGTGTTGTGTGTGCATGCATGCGTGTGCAGATGTGTGTGTGTATCAGGATTTAAGTTACAGGATATTAAAGGGGGAGTATAAATAAATTTAGAAAAAAAAGAATAACATTACCCAAAGACAAAAAAAAAGGGACTTTGTGTATTATTCTAGGCAACAGGCTAGGATGCTTTACCCTTTTATGCTGGAATTAATTTATATCTTTCCTGTTATCAATAACACAGTTTTTCTTTTGCTCTATTGTAACACTTCACAATCTTCCCTAAAAATTTTTATGCCTTTCTTTTCAATATTATTTATGCTTTGAATTATAGAAACTCTGTCTTGTCATTATTTCACCCATAATTCTATCTAGAGTATGTGCTCAAGTAACATTAGCTGTATTGAAACCGTTAACACTTAAAATTCCAGCATCTATATATACGACTAACTCAAATGAATTAATAAGCAAATTTTGTATTCCATGTAAAAAAAGTAGCTATTCTTCACCAATACTTTGCCATTATTCATTATTAGCTTGTGATCAGATTCTAGAATGCTAACATTAAGATAAATATAAAGCTTTTATGTCATCATAAGAATTGATTTATGACCAAATGTTTACTTTTGCCTTTATTTTAAATTCAGTTTGATGTTCGCATGACAAAAATTGAATTATAGATATTAAGCTCCAATGATCATTTTTATTGACTAATAGCATTGGATATGTATTTAGAATAAATCTTCAAAAGATAGAGTTATTGACCATTGAAAAATATTTCTAAAATATGATTAGTAAGCTATACTATAAAAGTAATTTTTTTTTAACTAAAGGCAATGGGGGGGTGGCTCTTGACAGTCACTGTGACTCAGTGGTCAGCACTTGAGCCATTTTTGGGTAACTTGAACGTATCCAATATCTGGAAAGTCTTATAATGAAAACTTCTGGCCAAATAAAATCAAACTTGCATCTAACAAGTATCAATGGCTAAATTTATTAAGTAAATTGTTAAAATATCTAATAAGTATGAAAAGTATAGTGCATTGAGCAAATATAATGTATCTCTCACGTCATTTTCTTCTCATACACAAGCCATTTATCAATGGGTAAATTTATTAAGTAAATTGCTAAAATATCTAAAAAGTATGAAAAGTGTAGTGCGTTGAGCAAATATAAATGTATCTCTCAATGTCATTTTCTTCTCATACACCAGGTAGCAAACGTTCTCTCACTAGAATTGGCCTAGTCAATGTTTCAGGTCAAGAATATTTGTTGCCATCTTCTTATTTTTTTCTGGATGTTTTCATGGGCTTTTAAACTCTACTTAACAATTACAAAAACTTCTATCTCTGCCTAAATGTTCTCTTTTTCTTTTATTTGACACTCTTTGCAGTGTACTCTTTTCTCTTTTGAAATGTGTCTCCCTGAAACAGCTCCACTGTCCTTCAGCAGCACTCACCAAGAAGTACACTAGAAACCAAACAAGTATGTTCAGGTTTATCAGGATTTTAAATTTATATCTTAAAATGATCTCTTTATATTTTCTTCTGCGGTATACTCTGAGATCCTTGAGAGCAGAGATATGTTATTTTACTCACTAAAACATGGCTGGGCCTTGAGTTAGATAAGATTTACTAGCTGTGCGATCTTGAAGACAGGGTTTCTGGTACCTATGATTTATTGAGGGAGTACTCTCAGAAGAATGAAAATAAAGGATGTATGACAGAGCATCCTTTATTTGTAAGGAAAGATGTTCCTTCCTTACAAGGATAAGTTTGTAAGTAAGCATGTGTTCTCAGTTGGAATCTGGAACATAAATATAACCACTTAAAACAAGAGAGCCTGCCATAAGTTAGTCCTTAGCTATCGACTATCTGTGGGGAGAGAGGAAGGATGTTTTAAAGTAGGGTGGATAGCTGGATTAGCTCATGTCTTCCGTAAATCAGGCACCAAGATGGGATTAGACACATAGATAAGTATTAGTAAGAAAGTCTTTGAGAGAAAATGGAAAGAAGTTCTGACCTTTGTGAACAAAAAGAAAAATGGAAGAAAAGTTGGGAGACATGACAACTAAATATAATGTATCCTGGAAGAGAAAAAGGCCTGTAGGTTAAAAATTAAGTATATTATTCCCACGGCTGCTGTAAGAAATAACCATTAATTTAGTGTCTTAAGAATGCATTAATTTATTTTCTTATAATTCTGTAATCCGTAAGTCCAAAATTAATCGAACTGAACTAAAATTATGATTTTGGCAAAGCTGCATTCTTTTCTAGAGACTCTAGGGAATAATCTTTTTTATTGTCCTTTCTAGGTTTTAGAGATTGCCAACTCCTCATGGTTTGTGACCCTCCTTCTATCTTCCAAGCCAGAAGCCTTAAGTTGCATTCTCACATTGCATCATTCTAATCCCTTTATCTGCCTTCCTTTTCCACATTTAAGAGACTTTGTGATTATGTTGGGCTCACTAGAGAATTCAGAACTGAATAATTGTGCCCTCCAATTTTCACATGTCAAAGCCTTACCCTGCATGGTTGGAAGATGGAGCCTCTGAGGAAGTACTTAAAGTTACATGAGGTAATAGGGGTGGTGCCTGATCTGATAAGATTAGTGCCATATAAGGAGAGATATCGAAGATCTCACTTTTGCTGTCTCTTTGCCAACATGCATGCACCTAGGAAAGGCCATGTGAGGACCCAGCGAGGAGGTGGCTATCTTTAAACCCAGAAGAGAGCTCACCAAATACTGAATCTGTGGACACTGCCATCATGGACTTCGAAATTCCAGCACTTTGAGAAAATGAACACCTGTTGATTAAGCCACTCAGTCCACCTAACCTGTGGTAATTTTAGAAATCTAAGAAGACTAATATAAGAAAAATTATTCTACCTATAACACCAAAAAAAATCTGAATGAGATATGGAGTTTAGTTAATAATTTATCAATCTTGGCCCATTAATTGTGACAAATGTACCATATCAATGGAAAATATTAATAAAAGCAGGATTTAGGTGTTAGTCATAGCAATTATCTGTGCACTTCAAGATTTCTCTCTAAATTTGAAACTATTCCAAAATTAAAAGTTCATTTTATTAAATAAAAAAAGAACGTTGCAAGGATTAACTTTTTTCATTATTACTTTTACTTTACAAAATTAAGTAGCATTTTTGTTTGCTTGTTTCACTTGTATTGTCAAAAGCGTAGTAAAGTTTAAGAGGGGTGTTTACAAACGAGGCTTATTAACAGAACTATCGGGAGGGAGGGGCTAAGATGGCTGACGAGAAGTGGCTCCGGTCTGCAGCTCTCACTGAAAAGAACAAATATGGCAAGTTAACCCTGCACCTTCAGCTGAGGTATCCAGATTGTCTCATTGGAACTGGCTAGGCAGTTGGTGCGACCCACAGAGAGCAAGGAAAAGCAGGGTAGAGGGACAGCCCACCCAGGAGCCACACGGGGTAAGGGGAACTCCCGCCCCAAGCCAAGGGAGGCAGTGAGTGATTGTGCTACCCCTCCAGGGAAATCACACTTTTTCCAAGGATCTGTGCAACCCATGGATCAGATTTCCTCATGAGGTCATGTCACCAGGGCCTTTGGTCCCCAGCACAGAACTGTGCAGACTCTTGGCAGCCACTCATGTTGCAGCCAGTGGCAGCACGCTGGAGGTGGCCTAAGATGACCGAGTTCCTGTGCGGAGGGGCAGCTGCCATCACTGCTGCTCCAGTCAGCCATTTTCCCCTGTCAGTGTCGGAGAGACTGGGCAGTTTGGACCAGGAGGAACTCCCCACAGTGCAGCACCGTGGCTATGACAGATCCTGGCCAGACTGTTTCCTTAGGTGAGACTCAGATCAATCCCTCGTCACTGGGCACGGCCTCCCTGTGGGAATTTCAGCAACTCCAGTCAGGAGTTTATGGGCAGAACTCTGATCCCTCAGGATGGAGCCCCTGGGGAGAGGGGTGGCCACGGTCTTTGGTTCAGTGGACTTAGTCTTTCCCACCTGCTGGTTCTGAGGAATCTGGACAGTCCAGATGAGTGGGATTCCCTCCAGTGCAGCACGCCTGCTCGGCCAAGGAGCAGCCAGAATTCTTCTTTAAGTGGGTCCCTGATCCCGTGCCTCCTGACTGGGTGAGACCTCCCAACAGGAGTTGCCAGACACTTCACAGAGGGGAGTTCTGGCCAGCATCAGGTAGGTGCCCCTCTGGGACAGAGCTCCCAGAAGAAGCAGCAGGTAACCATCTTTGCTGTTCTGCAGCCTCCACTGATGATACCTCCAGGTGCGGGAGAGACCCAGGTGAATAGGGTCTGGAGTGGAACCCCAGCAAACCACAGCAGCCCTGCAGAAGATGGGTCTGACTGTTAAAAGAAAATCAAGCAAACAGAAAGCAACAACAACAACATCAACAAAAAGACCCTACAAAAACCTCAAAGGTAAGCAGCCTCAACAATCAGAGGTAAATAAACCCACAAAGATGAGAATAAAATCAACACAAAAATGCCGAAAAGTCAAACACCAGAGTGCCTCTTCTCTTTCAAGTGATCACAACACTTCTCCAGCAAGGGAACAGAACTGGGCTGAGGCTGAGATGGATGAATTGACAGAAGTAGGCTTCAAAAAGTGGGTAATAACAAACTTTGTTGAACTAAAGGAGTCTGTTCTAACCCAATACAGAGAAGCTAAGAACCATGATAAAACATTACAGAACCTGCTAAGCAGAATAACCAGTTTAGAGAGGAACACAAATGACCTGATGGAGGTGAAAAACACAACACAAGAACTTCACAATGCAACCACAAGTATCAACAGCCAAATAGACCAAGCAGAGGAGAGAATCTCAGAGCTTGAAGATTATCTTGCTGAAATAAGACAGGTAGACAAGATTAGAAAAATAAGAATGAAAAGGAATGAAAAAACATTCAAGAATGATGGGATTGTGTAAGAAGACCAAACCTATGACTGATTGGGGTACCTGAAAGAGACAGGGACAATGGAATCAAATTGGAAACCATACTTCAGGATATCGTTGAGAACTCCCCCAACCTAGTAAGATATGCTAGAATTCTGATTCAGGAAATCCAGAGAACCCCAGTAAGATACTCAAGAAGAACAACCCCAAGGCACATAATCATCAGATTTTCCAAGGTCAAAATGAAGTAAAAAATGTAAAGGGCAGTCAGAGAGAAAGACCAGAGCACCCACAAAGGGAAGGCCATCAAACTAACAACAGAACTCTCAGTGGAAACCCTACAAGCCAGAAGAGATCGGGGGGCCGATATTCAACATTCTTAAAGAAAAGAATTTCCAACCTAGAATTTCATATCCAAACAAAGTAAGCTTCATAAGCAAAGGAGAAATAAAGTCCTTTTTGGGCAAGCAAATGCTGAATTCATCACTACCCAACCGCTCCTGATGGAAGCACTGAATATGGAAAGGAAAAACCATTACCAGCCACTACAAAAACACACTGAAATACACAGACCAGTGATACTATGAAGCAACTAATTAACAAGTCTGCAAAATAATGAACGATCATCATGATGACAGGACCGAATTCACATATAACAATATTAGCCTTAAATGTAAAAGAGCTAAATGCCACAATCAAAAGACACAGAATGGCAAGCTGAATAGAGCCAAGACCCATCAGTAGACTGTATTAAAGAGACCCATCTCACATGCAAAGACACACATAGGCTCAAAATAAAGAGATGGAGGAAAATTTACCAAGCAAATGGAAAACAGGAGTAACAATCCTAGTTTCTGACAAAACAGACTTTAAACCAACAAAGATCAAAAAAAGACAAGGGCATTGCATAATGATAAAGGGTTTAATTCAATAAGAAGAGCTAACTATCCTAAATATATATACATGCAATACAGGAGCACCCAGATTCATAAAACAAGTTCTTAGAGGCCTGCAAAGAGACTTAGACTCCCAAACAATAATAGTGGGAGATTTCAAGAGCCCACTGTCAATATAAGACAGATAATTGAGACAGAAAATTAACAAAGATATTCAGGACTTGAACTCAGTTCTGGATCAAGTGGACATGATAGACATCTACAGAACTCTTCACCAAAAACCAACAGAATATACATTCTTCTTGGCACCACATGGCAATTAATCTAAAATTGATCACATACTGGAAGGAAACATTCTTCAGCAAATGCAAAAGAACTGAAATCATAATGAACAGTCTCTCAGACCACAGAACAATTAAATTAGAACTCAAAGAAACTCAAACCCACACAACTACATGGAAATTGAACAGCCTGCTTCTAAAAGACTCCAAGGTGAATGATGCAATTTAGGAAGAAATCAAGAAGTTCTCTAAAACTAATGAGAACAAAGAGACAACATACCAGAATCTCTGGGACACAGCTAAAGCAGTGTTAAGAGGGAAATTTGTAGCACTAAATACCCACATCAATAGATGCAGAAAAGGCCTTCAATAAAAATCATCATCCCTTCATGTTAAAAATTCTCAATAACCTAGGAATTAAAGGAACGTGTCTCAAAATAATAATGACAGCCAATATCTTACTAAATGGGCAAAAGATGGAAGTATTCCCCTTGAAAATCAGCACAAGAGAAGGATGCCCTTTCTCACCATTCCTATTCAATATAGTATTGGAAGTACTGGCCAAGGCAATCAGGCAAGAGAAATAAGTAAAGCATATTCAAATAGAAAGAGAGGATGTCAAACTGTCTCTGTTTGCAGGTGACATGATCCTATATCTAGAAAACCCTATCGTCTCGTACCAAAAGCTTCTTAAGATGACAAGCAACTTCAGCAAAGCCTCAGAATACAAAATCAATGTGCAAAAATCACAAGCATTCCTATACACCAACAACAGATAGGCAGACAGCTAAATCACAAATGAACACCCTTCCCAATTGCTACATAGAATAAAATACCTAGAAATACAGCTAACAGGGGAAGTGAAGGAACTCTTCAAGGAGAAATACAAAGCACTGCTTAAGGAAATCAGAGAGAATACAAACAAATGGAAAAACATTCCATGCTCATGGATAGGAAGAATCAATATCATGAAAATGGCCATGCTGCACAAAGAAATTTATGGATTCAATGCTATTTCCATCAAACTACCATTGACATTCTTCACAGAATTAGAAAAAAACTATTTTAAAATTTATATGGAAACAAAAAAGAGCTCATATAGCCAGAACAATTCTAAGCCAAAATAACAAAGCTGGAGGCATCATGGTGCATGACTTCAAACTATACTACAAGGCTACAGTAACCAAAACAGCATAGTACTGGTACAAAAACAAGCACATAGACCAATGGAACAGAGTAGAGAACTTAGAAATAAGACTGCACATGTACAACCATCTGATCTTTGACAAACTTAACAAAAACAAGCAATGAGGAAAGAATTCCCTATTTAATAAATGGTGTTGGGAGAACATGCTAGACATATGCAGAAAATTGAACCTAGACCCCTTACTTATACCTTATACAAAAATCAACTCAAATGGGTTAAAAACTTAAATATAAAACCAAAAACTATAAAAACCCTAGAAGAAAAATCTAGGCAATACCATTCAGGACTTAGGGATGGGTAAAGATTTTATGACAAAAATGGCAAAAGCAATTGCAACAAAAGCAAAAATTGACAAATGGGATCTAATTAAACTAAAGTGCTTCTGCACAGCAAAATAAACTATCATCAGAGGGAACTGACAACCTACAGAATGGGAGAACATTTTTACAACCTATTCATCTGACAAAGGTCTAATATCCAGAGACTACAAGGAACTTAAACAAATTTACAAGAAAGAAACAAGCAACCCCATTAGAAAGTGGGCAAAGGACATGAACAGACACTTCTCAAAAGAAGACATTTATTCAGCCAAAAAACATATGAAAAAAGATTCAACATCACTGATTATTAGAGGAATGCAAATCAAAATCACAATGAGATACCATCTCATGCCAATCAGAATGGCAATTATCAAAAGGTCAAGAAACAACAGATGTGGTGAGGCTGCAGAGAAAAGGGAACACTTTTATACTGTTGGGAATGAAAATTAGTTCAACCATTGTTGAAGGTGGTGTGACAATTCCTCAAAGTCATACAACCAGAAATACCTTTTGGCTTAGCAATCCCATTACTGGGTATATACCCAAAGGAATATAAATAATTCTATTATAAAGATACATGCATGTGCATGTGCATGTTCAATGCAGCACTATTCACAATAGCAAAGATATTCAATGCAGCACTATTCACAATAGCAAAGATATGGAATGAACACAAATGCCCATCAATGATAGACTGGATAAAGAAAATGTGGTACATATACACCATGGAATACTATGCAGCCATAAAAAGAAATGAGATCATGTCCTTTGGGGGAACATGGATGTAGCTGAAAGCCATTATCTTCGGCAAACTAACATAAGAACAGAAAATCAAACACCACATAGTCTCACTTATCAGTGGGAGCTGAACAATGAGAGCACGTGGACACAGTGAGGGGAACAACACACACTGGGGCCTGTTGCTGGGGGTGGGGCGTGGGAGGGAGAGCATTAGGAAAAATAACTAATGTATG
Source organism: Homo sapiens (assembly GCF_000001405.40). NCBI lineage: Eukaryota > Metazoa > Chordata > Mammalia > Primates > Hominidae > Homo > Homo sapiens. Next base: position 105,339,128 of record NC_000011.10, read on the forward strand.
CTGGGCTTACTTAGGTGGTGGATTGATAGGTGAAGTAAACCACCATGGCGCATGTTTACCTATGTAACAAACCTGCACGTCCTGCACTCCTGCACATTTACCTCAGAACTTAAAATTTAAAAAAAAAATAAAGTAAAATAAAATAAAGAATTACCAAGGTGTAAAGATGTAGAAAGGGTAACGTGTAAGGACTAATTGGAGTAATCAAAATGTTTTAGTATGAAAGAAAATAAAAACAAAATAAACATCCTCACCATTTGAGCTGGTTTATGATTTGGATGGACCACCCTTTATAACACTGAATTTTATTTCTAACAAAGGGTATGTAGACAGGAGATTCTTGCATTAAGTGAACATTTGAATACAACACCTTTTATTGTCAAACAATATTACTTTTTATCTAAATGTGACAGAAAAAAAGAAACATTATAGGCCACCAGATTTAAGAAGGTTAATTTTTAAAATATATATATGCAAGACCACATTATAGTTTATTATAAAATAACAGAGAAATGAACTTTGGACTTCACCACAACATGCCATTATAAATTGCATCTAAGTAAACACAAACATCTGCCAGTGATGTAAACAAAGTCTGTTATGAGAGGATTCTTGTTACACCATCAGAGCATAATATTTAATATTCATTAGAGACATGAATATGTTAGTTTTTCTTCTTCTCTATTCTCAGAGGTAGTAATTATATAGTGAAAGTTGAATAATTCTAGTTTGCAGTTTCACAAATTAGAAGCTGCTACATGTGTTCTTACTAAGAATTTATTTGAAATTTAGTAAAAGTATGACACTATCTCACATTTTTGAGTAATAATTGAGATTCACACACACATTTTTGGTTAATAATTGAGATTCACACACACACACACACACACACACACACACACACACACACCACCATACTGAATAAAGAGAAAGATAATAGAGTATAAGTCTGAGAGAATGTCATTCATGAATTTTTTTTGGTAGGTGGATATTAGCAAAAGGGTTCCAATGCCATATTTTAAATAAGAAACTGAGGTGAGAGAAACCCACCAAAAAAAGTGGGAATAGTATTGCAGAACTTGAGTTACATCAATGGAGCAACAGAAGAACTCAAAATGTTCATCTGAAAGCACCTGACTGAAATAAAAGCCTAGGAATAAATTAAATTATATTACAGGACCATGCTACCAGAACCATTGGTCACACCTTCAGATTATTCTAGCAAAAAGCAGCACACCTCATAGGAATATAGCACAAATAAGTCACCAAGAAAACAAATTTTTATATCAGTAAAACAAGATACTATAATCAGGACCAAAATCACAGTTATCTACCATTACCAATGTAATCATCAGCTAGTTTAATTTGACAATGGAGTCATAAAATAGGCTATACACAGAAAGCAAGGTTATGAACAAAGACTTTCTTGTTTGGACTTTCATGCCTAGAAAATATAAAACAGCAATAACACTAGCAGAGAAATAGATAAGCCAAACTATGTGGATCCTTCTCTCAACCATGCACAAAACTGTATTTTTGAACTTTATTCTTTAAAGTAGTAAACTCTCTTTCTTGAAGAGTACTCCTGGCTTTCTGAAGATCTTCTTTTCCTCCTCCAGAGAAGTATCAAATATATTTATTTTCACTAAGTTGCACTTGGCTAAAATAAATTATTAGAATTTTAATTATCATGAAGGAATTTGGGTTCTATTTTGCCAAATCGAAAAGATTAGTAAATAAATAAATAGGCAGTGTGCAAAACATCATTAACGACCAGTAAGCTTTTCTCATTATGACTAAAATAATGCATACACTTCTTGTTCAATTAAAAGGTCTGTGAAGTCAAACTATTATTTATTTTACACTTAAAATATAAGTCCTCTATAAATTTTTGAATTAGAAAATGTGAAAAAGCTGTTTTTGCATAAGCATGGATTAATTCATGCTATATGGTTCCTACATCTTTTTTCCCCCAATCTCTCTATTTGCCAATTTTACAGTAGAATATGCATCCTCCAACCCTGCTTCCTATTGGTCCAAGCCAATCAAGATATTCTTCATAAATATTACATAAGCTTTCCCCATCAGTGGAGCCATTAAGAACCAAATATTGAAGAATTATGCTCCTCTGATGTTCTCAATGGGTCTTTCTGTTTCCCTTCTTACTAATAGACCCACCGGACTAATGTTCAGCATTCAAAAGATCTGAGATTACCATTTGCTAACACTGTGCAATAGGTTTTTTTACTCAGGTGACTTGAGCTCACAATCTTAAGTACCACTATAAAGTTGTTGAATCACATTTGATACTTTTTTATTATCGCCCATGAGCATCTCAGACTGTATGTGGCTCAAGCTTACTCTCATCCTGAGTTTCTTACCTTAATAATTGAATAACAGAGTTCAACAAATTGCCTAACAAAGAAACCTTAGTCAGGCACTCTTCCTTCTCCCTAAATTCCTACATCTAGTGTAGGTATAAAAAGCAGTTTTTCTCTAATTCTGTGAAGAAATCCAACCGTAGCTTGATGGGAATAGCATTGAATCTATAAATTACATTGGGCAGTTTGGCCTTGTTCACGATATTGATTCTTCTTATACATGAGCAAGAAACTTTTTTCCATTTGTTTGTGTGAGGAGTGGTTTGTATTTCTCCTTGAGGAGGTCCTTCACATCCCTTGCAAGTTGTATTCCTAGGTATTTTATTCTCCTTATAGCAATTGTGAATGTGAGTCCACTGATGATTTGGCTCTCTATTATTGGTGTAAATAAGTGTTTGTGATTTTTGCACACTGATTTTGTATCTTGAGACATTTCTGAAGTTGCTTATCAGCCTAAGGAGTTTTTGGGCTGAGACAATGGGGTTTTCTAAATATACAATCATGTCATCTGCTAACAGAGACAATTTGACTTTCTCTCTTCCTATTTGAATAGGCTCTATTTCTTTCTCTTGCCTGGTTGTCCCGGCCAGAACTTCCAATGTGATGTTGAATAGGAGTGGTGAGAAAGGGGATCCTTGTCTTATGCCTGTTTTCTAAGGGAATGCTTCCAACTTTTACCCATTCAATATGATACTGGCTATGGATTTGTCATAAATAGCTGTTATTATTTTGAGATATGTTCCATCCATCAATACCTAGTTTATTGAGAGTTTTTAGCATTAAGGGATGTTGAATTTTATTGAAGGCCTTTTCTGCATCTATTGAGATAATCGTGTGGTTTTTGTCATTGGTTCTGTTTATGTGATGAATTATGTTTATTGATTTGCATATGCTGAAACAGCCTTGCATCCCACGGATGAAGCCAACTTGATCGTGGTTGATACGCTTTTTGATGTGTTGCTGGATTCGGTTTGCCACTATTTTACTGAAGATTTTCACATCTATGTTCATCAGGGATATTGGCCTGAAATTTTCTTTTTTATTTTGTGTCTCTGCCAGATTTTGGTATCAGGATGTTGCTTGCCTCATAAAATGAGTTAGGGAGGAGTCCCTCTTTTTCTACTGTTTGAAATGGTTTCAGAAGGAATGGTACAAGCTCCTATTTATACATCTGGTAGAATTTGGCTGTGAATCCTTCTGGTCTTGGACTTGTTTTTGGTTGGTAGGCTATTAATTACTACCTCAATTTTAGAACTTGTTACTGGTCTATTCAGAGATTTGACTTCTTCCTGGTTTAGTCTTGGAAGAGAGTATGTGTCCAAGAATTTATATATTTCTTCTAGATTTTTTAGTTTATTTGCATAGAGGTGGAGCCCATATAGCCAAGACAGTCCTAAGCAAAAAGAACAAAGCTGGAGGCTTCACACTACCTGACTTCAAACTACACTACAAGGATACAGTAACCAAAACACCTTGGTATTGGTACCAAAACAGATATATAGACCAATGAAACAGAACAGAGGCCTCAGAAATAACATCACACATCTACAACCATCTGATCTTTGACAAACCTGACAAAAATAAGAAATGGGGAAAGGATTTTCTATTTAATAAATGGTGCTGGAAAAACTGGCTAGCTATATGCAGAAAACTGAAACTGGACCTCTTGTTTACACTTTATACAAAAATTAACACAAGATGGAATAAAGACTTTAATGTAAAACCTAAAACCATAAAAATCCTAGAAGAAAAGATAGGCAATATCATTCAGGACACAGGCATGGGCAAAAACTTCATGACTAAAACACCAAAAGCAATTGCAACAAAAGCCAAAATTGACAAATGGGATCTAATTAAACTAAAGAGCTTCTGCAGAGCAAAAGAAACTATCTTCAGAGTGAACAGGCAATATACAGAATGGTAAAAAATTTTTGCAATCTACCCATCTGACAAAGATCTAATATCCAGAATCTACAAGGAACTTTAAAAAATTTATCAGAATAAAAACAAACAACCCAATCAAAAAGTGGGCAAAGGATATATACAGACACTTCTCAAAAAAAATACATTTATGTGGCCAACAAACATATGAAAAAGAGCTCATCATCACTGGTCATTAAAGAAATGCAAATCAAAACCACAATGAGATAACATTTCACACCAGTTAGAATGGTGATCATTAAAAATCAGAAAACAACAGATGCTGGTGAGGTGGAGAAATGGGAAAGATTTTACACTTCTGGGGGTGTAAATTAGCTCAACCATTGGGTAAGATAGTGTGGCAATTCCTCAAGGATCTATAATCAGAAATGCCATTTGACCCAGCAATCCCATTACTGGGTATATACCTAAAGGGTTATAACTTATTCTACTATAAAGACACATGCACACATATGTTTGCTCCAACACTATTTACGTTAGCAAAGACTTGGAGCCAACCCAAATGTCCATCAATGATAGATTGGATAAAGAAAATATGGCACCTATACATCATGGAATACTGTGCAGCCATGAAAAAGAATGAGTTCATGTCCTTTTCAGGGACATGGATGAAGCTGGAATCCATCATTCTCAGCAAACTAACAAAGGAACAGAAAACCAAATACCTCATGTTCTCACTCAGAACTGGGAGTTGAACAATGAAAACACATCGACACAAGGAGGGGAACATCACACACGGGGGCCTGTCGGGGGGCTGTGGGTCAAGAGGAGGGAGAGCCTTAGGAGAAATATATAATGCATGTGGGGCTTAAAACCTAAATGACGAGTTGATAGGTGCAGCCAACCACCATGGCACATGTATACATTTGTAACAAACCTGCATGTTCTGCAAATGTATCCCAGAACTTAAAGTAAAATTTTTTTAAAAAGCATTTGGTGACACAGTATTAGCAATCTTATTTCTCTTGACATAATACCTGGTATCTTTTCTTGAGAACAATAGCAATCCGTTTGATTATTCTTTGTATTCATTTTGTCATGTTTATGCATATTAATGGAGAAAGCATTTTTTTCTTTCATAATGAGAAAAGAATCCTATTTGTCCTCATTTTATCCTGAAATATTAAATAGAAAAAAAGTGTGTGAATTTTCTCCTTTTCTCCATGTTTACTCTCCCCATCTTCAGAATTTTGCTTAAAAGCCTGAGAAAAAGAAATAATTTTGGTGCACAAAGATATTGATGATACCATATTGTTTTATATGTTGGTAGGTGTGCAGATGACAAAAGGCAATGGGAATTCATTCCTACAATAAATATGTATGTAGTGTTTATGTTGCTTGTCATTTTTTGCCTAACTCAACTCGGGCCAGAAATGGGGCTGGCCTTGTTTTGAAACTCTGCACGTCAAACTGACTACCCAAGACACCTGGAGCAAAAGTTTATGGTTGACATATACATTAGACCCTCTAAGAACCTGAAAGCAAATGCTGGGGCGATCTTCAGGAAATTAGAACATTCAAAAGCATCAATGTATATGAAAAAATTTAGAAAAACATGTGCATGTCCAAAGCAAGAATCATGCTAAGAAAAAAACCTGAGGAGACCCTCAGCTTTAACCTCTGGTTGGTCCATAGTCTCCTAGCAATTCTGGCTAAGCATTGAATGAGTGTCCTGGCACTGAGCCAATCTTCAAAAACAAGCAGAGATGTTTCTTTCTTTGTGTCTTGTTTTTCAGTCTTTGGAACTCAAGGTAATCACTGTCCAAACACTAGAAAAACACAATCTAAAAAACAGAGACCTCAGTAACCACACCCAACAAATAATATAATCTTAGCAAAAAGAAAAATGAAGTTTAGGAAATTCACTAAATAAACAAAAAACTACAGACTTCAAATATAAAAACAAAACAAAACAAAAATAAAAAAATTCTGAGAAAGGGGTAGAATCTAACCTAGAGTTATCACAGTATTATGTTTAAATCTTCAGTTTTTAACAAATAATTACAAGGCATGTGGAGAAACAGCAAAGTGTGGTCCATTTAAAGTAAAATAAATGAATTGACAGACATCATTCCTGATAAAATACAGACATCAAAATTACTAGACCGAGACTTAAAAAAATAGTTTTAAATGAGGACAAGAAGCTAAAGGAAAACATAGACAAATAACTAAATAACACCAGAAAAATAAATGAATGAAAAATTATAATATCAATAGATATATAAATTAATTTTTTACAAGGGCCAAATGAAAAATCTAATGCTAAAACCACAAGTGGTACAAAAAATGTACTAATGGATCTCAGCAACAGATTTGAGCAGGAAGGAGAACAAATAAGCACACCTGAAAATATTACAATTGAGATTATTAAATTTGAAGAGCATGAAGAAAACAAAATGAAGAAAAATGAACAAAACTTAAGTGACGTGTAGGACACCATCAAGCAGATCAATGTATGCATTATTGAGTACCAGTAAAAGAAGAGGAACAAAAAGGCAGAATAATATTTTAAAGAATAATGGCTGAAAATATTTTAACCTTGATTAAAGATATCAATTTGCAAATCCAAAAAGCTCAATTAATTTCAAGTGTAAAACCCTAAAGGAGACACACACCAAAACAGATTTTAATCAAACTGTTAAAAGTCAAAGATAATGTCTCAAAAGCAGCAAAAGACATGTAACTAATCATGCAGTTAAGAAATCCAGAGTATGATCAATAGGCAATTTTTCTTCAGAAATCATGGATGCTGAAAGTCAGTGGAATGACAAAGCGCTAAAAGAAAACTATCAAATAAGAATTTTACATCGGGCAAACTGTCCTTCAAAAATGAGAAAGAATTTAAGACATTTCCAAAAACCAAAGGTTGAGTGTGTTTATTACCACTAGATCTGCCCTACAAGAAATGCTAAAGGAATCCATTAAGGACAAAATAAAAAAAACAATAGGCAGTAATTCAAAATTGTTTGAACAAATCTCTCCGGTAATGATAAATACGCAGCCAAATATAAAAGCCAATATAATATTATTTTTGGTTTATAATTTTACTTTTTGTTTTCCATAGGATTTAAAAGATAAATGAATAAAAATTATAAGTTTATTGGGCATACAACATATAAAATATCTATAAAAACAACAATATAAAGAGAGACCGTGAGATGGAGCTGTAAAGGACCAGAGTTTGTATATATTATTTAAGTTAAGTTTGTATCAATTTGAACTAGATGTTATAAATTCAGTATGTTAACTGTAATCCAAGTGGTAACCCCAAAAATTTATTAATAAATACACAAAAGGAAATGAAAAGGAAATCAACATGTGTCACTACAAATAATTCAATTAAACACAAAAGAAGACAATAATAGAGAAAAGATGGACAAAAGTTATTAGACATATAGATAACAATTAGCAAAATGGCAGAAGTAAGTCCTCCCTTTTCATGTGCATGCTCGCCAAAGTATGACCTCAGCAGAAAAGGATTTTAAAAATAAAGTGAAAAGGATGATCCTTTCAGTGGATACAAGTCAGTCTCCTTTTCCAACCACTTTTGTCAATGCCCAATTACTCGAGAACAAAATGGCCATGGTGGCAGGGATGGGGAGTATACATGGGATCAGCAACATGGACTTACGCTCACTTAGGCCTCCCTGGTTACAGCCACTCCGAAGAGCTTAATATGCTAGAAGCTGAGATCAACAATGAGTCTCCAAAATCACAACATTCTCCAGGGTGATCAGCCAGCTACCTGGTGGCTGATTGCATTGAATCGTTTTCATCATGGAAGGAAAACTGTTTTGTACTTACTGGAAAAGACTCTGGGTATGGATTTGCCTTCTCTGCAAACAGTGCATATGAAAACTAACATTGGTGGATGTATAGAACATTTTATCCACTGTCATGGTACTCTACACAACATTGTTTCGACGAAGTAACTTACTTCACAGCAAATGAAGTGCAACAATGGGCTTGTGCTCATGTAGTTCACTGGTGTTATCATGACATCCATCATCCTAAAACAGCTGGCTTGATAAAATAGTGGAATGGCCTATTTACTGAAGAACAGTCACAGTACCAGCTAGATGTAAATACCTTGCATGGCTATGGCAAGTTTCTCCAGAAACCTGTATAATATTCTAAATTAGCATCCAATATATAATGCCATTTCTTCCACAGTCAGGATTCACAATCCAGGATTAAGGGGTGGAAATGAGAGCGCCATCGGTCATTATTACCCTTAGTGATACACTAGCAAATCTTTTGCTTTATATAACTGTGATGTTATGCTGTGTTGATCTAGAGGTGTTAATTCCAAAGTAGGAATGCTTCTACCAGGAGATACCACAATGATCTATATCTGTATCTATATCCATAACTGTTGATTCTTTTCCTCTGGAGGACCCCAATACACTACATAAAAGCAAATAAAAATAAAAATAAAACTCAATAGACCTATAATGAGTAAAGTCATGTATGAATAATGAATATCCTTTTAAAAATAAATTCTAGGAAAAAATGACTTTACTGGTGAATTCGACCAAATATTTAGAAAACGAATCTCAATCTTTCTCAAATAGTTCCAAAAAACCAAGAGGACAAAGCACTTCCTAATTCATTCTAGAGGCCAGCATTACCCTGATACCAAAGCCAGTAAAGACATCATAAAAAATTATAAACCAATATAACTTATGGATATTGACAAGAAAAGTCCTCAAGAAAATATTAGCAAACTGAATCCAATAGCATAGTAAGTGATTATAAACCACGACCAAGTAAGATTTATTCCAGGGATGCAAGAGCAGCTTAACATAAAAAAATTAAGCTAGGTAATACACCTTAATAATAGAACAGATTTTAAAGAAAAAATCATCTTAATTTTTGAAGAAAAGACGTTTGGCAAAATACAACACCCTTTCATGGATAAGATACTTGGAAAGCTAGGAACAAAAGAGATGATAAAAGACATTGATGAAAAACCCACAGCTATTATTAATATTTTACTCAATGGTAAAGACTGAAAGCTTTCCTCCTAATATGAAGAAAAAGACAAGAATGTTCACTTTCACTACTATTATTTATTATTGTACTGAAAGATCTGCCCAGAGCAATTAGACAAGAAAAATAAATTAAAGATGTCTAAATTGGAAAATAAGAAATAAAATTCCTCCATTGGAAGACGAGATGATCTTATATATAGAAAATTCTAAAAAACCCAAAGAAAACTCCTAGAGCTACAAATAAATTCAGCAAAGTTACAAGGTACGAAATTAATACAAAAACTTTAGTTTTGATGTCATACACCTGCAATGAAAAATTAAAAAAAGACATTTAGGAAAGCAATTTCACTTAAAAGTGTATTAGTCTATTCTCGCACTGCTAATAAATACATACCTGAGACTGGGTAATTTATACAGAAAAAGTTTAATGGACTCTCAGTTCCACATGGCTGGGGAGGCCTTACAATCATGGCAGAAGGTGAAGCGGAGCAAAGTCATGTCTTACATGGCACTAGGCAAGACAGAATGAGAGCCAAGTGAAAGGGGTTTCCCCTTTTAAAATCATCAGATCTTTTCATGTGTTTTTTGGCTGCATAAATGTCTTCTTTTGAGAAGTGTCTGTTCATGTCCTTCGCCCACTTTTTGATGGGGTTGTTTGTTTTTTTCTTGTAAATTTGTTTGAGTTCATTGTAGATTCTGGATATTAGCCCTTTGTCAGATGAGTAGGTTGCGAAAATTTTCTCCCATTTTGTAGGTTGCCTGTTCAATCTGATGGTAGTTTCTTTTGCTGGGCAGAAGCTCTTTAGTCTCACCATCACTGGCCATCAGAGAAATGCAAATCAAAACCACAATGAGATACCGTCTCACACCTGTTGGAATGGCAATCATTAAAAAGTCAGGAAACAACAGGTGCTGGAGAGGATGTGGAGAAATAGGAACACTTTTACACTGTTGGTGGGTCTGTAAATTAGTTCAACCATTGTGGAAGTCAGTGTGGCGATTCCTCAGGGATCTAGAACTAGAAATACCATTTGACCCAGCCATCCCATTACTGGGTATATACCCAAAGGACTATAAATCATGCTGCTATAAAGACACATGCACATGTATGTTTATTGGGGCTCTATTCATGATAGCAAAGACTTGGAACCAACCCAAATGTCCAACAATGATAGACTGGATTAAGAAAATGTGGCACATATACACCATGGAATACTATGCAGCCATAAAACATGATGAGTTCATGTCCTTTCTAGAGACATGGATGAAACTGGAAATCATCATTCTCAGTAAACTATCACAAGGACAAAAAACCAAACACTGCATATTCTCACTCATAGGTGGGAATTGAACAATGAGAACACATGGACACAGGAAGGGGAACATCACACTCTGGGGACTGTTGTGGGGTGGGGGGAGGGGGGAGGGATAGCATTAGGAGATATACCTAATGCTAAATGACGAGTTAATGGGTGCAGCACACCAGCATGGCACATGTATACATATGTAACTAACCTGCACATTGTGCACATGTACCCTAAAACTTGAAGTATAATAATAATAAAATAAAATAATAAAAAACAAAAGCATTTGATAAACATTAAAAAATAAATAAAAAGATTAAGAAATCCACAAAAAAAAAATTTTAAAAAATTTAAAAAAAATCATCCGATCTTGTGAGACTTATACACTACCAAAATAACAATATGGGGGGAACAGCCCCCACGATTTAAGCACCTCCCTCAAGATCTCTTCCACAACACTTGGGAATTATTGGAGCTACAATTCAAGATGAGATTTGGGTGGGACACAGCCAAACCATATCATTTCACTTCTAGCCCCTCCCAAATCTCATATTCTCACATTTAAAACAAATCACGCTTTGCTAACAGTCCCCCAAAGTCTTAACTCATTTCAGCATTAACTCAGAAGTTCACAGTCCAAAGTCTCATCTGAGATAAGGCAATCCCTTTCACCTATGAGCCTGTAAAATCAAAAGCAAGTTAGTTACTTCCTAGATACAACAGGGGTACAAGCATTGGGTAAATACAGCCATTCCAAATGGGAGAAATTGGCCAAAACACAGGGACTGTAGGCCCCATGCATGTCTGAAATACAGCAGGTCAGTCAAATCTTAAAGCTCCAAAATGATCTCCTTTGATTCCATGTCTCACATCCAGGTCATGCTGATGGTTCCCAAGTGGGTTCCCATGGTCTTGGGCAGCTCCACCCTTGTGGCTTTGCAGGGTACAGCCTCCCTCCCAGCAGTTTGCATGGGCTGGGGTTGAATGTCTGTGGCTTTTCCAGGCACATGGTGCAAGCTGTCGGTGGATCTACCATTCTGGGGTCTGGAGTATAGTGGCCCTCTTCTCACAGCTCCACTGGGTAGGTGGTGTGCCAGTGTGGACTCTGTGTTGGGGCTTCAACTTCACATTTCCCTTCTGCACTGCTGTAGCAGAGAATCTCCATGAGGGCCCTACCTTTGCAGCAAATTTCTACTTGGACATCAGACATTTCCATACATCCTCTGAAATCTAGCTGGAGGTTCCCAAACCTCAATTCTTGACTTCTGTGTACCCACAGGCTCAACACCACATGGAAGCTGTCAAGGTTTTGGAGCTTGCATCCTCTGAAACCACAGCTCAAGCTGCACCTTGGCAACTTTTAGCCATGGCTAGAGTAGCTGGGATGCAGGGCACCAAGTCCCTAGGGCTGCACAAAGCAGGGAGGCCAGGAAACCAGTTTTTCCTCCTAGGCCTCCAGGCCTGCAATGGGAGGGACTGTGGCAAAGGTCTCTGACATGTCCTGGAGACATTTTCTGCATTGTCTTGGTGATTAACATTTGGCCCCTTGTTACTTATGCAGATTTCTGCACCCAGCTTAATTTCTCCTCAGAAAATGGGTTTTTCTCTTCTATCTCATCATCAGGCTGCAAATTTTCCTTTTGCAACTTTTATGCTTTGTTTCCCTTTTAAAACTGAATGCTTTTAACAGCAACCAAGTCACCTCTTGAATGCTTTGCTGCTTAGGAATTTATTCACCAGATACCCTAAATCATCTCCCTCAAGTTCAAAGTTCCACAAATCTCTAGGGCAAGGGAAAAATGCTGCCAGTCTCCTTGCTAAAGTATAACAAGAGTCACATTTGCTCCAGTATCCCTGAATAGCCAAAATAACAACATAGTGAATTCATAATTTTCTGTTTTAAAGCTAAGTAGTCATCAAAGCTAAAGTCATGAAAATATTGTAATACCAGTATAATGATAGACCTATAGACCAATGTAAACAAAAAAAGAGCCCAGAGTTAAATTCACACATTTATGGAGAATTTATTTACAACAAGGGCACCAAGTCCATTCAATGGGGTAAAAAACAGTGATGTCTTCAACACATGGTGTTATTACAACTAGATTTCCACTGTGCAAAGAAATAAAGTGGATTCCTACCTCCCTTCATATACACAAATTAACTAAAAGCTGATTAACAAAATTAATATAAGAGATAAAGCCATCAAATTCTTAAAATAGGTGATATGTGTTCATAATTTAACACCAGATTTAGTAATTTAACCTCGAATTTAACAATGAATTCTCAAATAGGACACCAAAGCATGAAAATAAATAAATAAATAAATAAGACTTCATTCAAATTAAAAACTTCTGAGTATTAAAGACCATCAAGAAAGACAAAATACTACAGAATGGTAGAATACATTTGCAAATTATTTGCCTGCTAAAGGTTCAATATTCAGAACATATTAAGAGCTCACAAAACTCAACAAAAAAGGCAACTCAATAAAAAAATCAGCAAAAAACTTTAATAGACGTTTCTCCAAACACAATACACTAATGTCAAAAAAATCGTATAAAAATACTTGACATTATTAGCCATCAGGAAAATGCAAATTAAAACCACAATGACATACCACTTCATACCTACTAGGATATCAAAAAATAGAAATTAAGAAGTGTTGTCAAGGTAATGGAGAAATTGGAAACGTCATGCATTGCTGGTGGCACAGCTGCTGTGTTACAATTTGGTGGTTCCTCAAAATAATAACTATAAAATTAACATATGATCTACTTATAGGTATTTACTTTAAAAATTGAAAACAGGGACTCAGATCACTGAACACTGCTATTATTGAATTGTCCACAATAGCCAATAGATAGAAACAAAGTGTCCATTAACACATGAACGGACTTATTTTTATTTTTATATTTTTTTAGAGACAGCATACAGCTATGTTACTCAGGCTGGAATGCAGTGGCTGTTCACAAACATGATGCCAGACTGATCAGCATGGGAGTTTTGGCATACTCCATTGCCGTCTTGGGCCAGTTCAATCTTCCTTACGCCAATCTGGTGGTCCCCTGTTCCTGAGAGGTCAACATATTGATGCCAAACAGTGCAGACACCCAGTTGGCATAGTGCAGTACAGCCCAGAACTTCTGGGCTTAAGCAATCCTCCTGCCTCAGCTTACCATGTAGCTGGGACTACCATGTAGGTGGGCACGTGCCACCTATGGTGAGCTGGATTTTTAAATTACTACATGCATACAATCGGTTATTACTCAGCAATAGTAAGAAATTAAGCACTGAAACATGCCACAACATAAATGAACCTTGAAAACATTATGCTAAATGAAATAAACCAAAGAGGCCCTTAGTTTATGATCTATTTATATAAAATGTCCAGAATAGACAAATCTGTTAAAAGAAACAATAGATCAATGGATGCCAGAGGCTGTGGGACAAGGGAATCAGAAATACCTGTGAATGGATAATGGGTTTCTTCTGGATTGATGAAAATATTCTGGAATTTGTAATTGTGGTTACACAATTTGTGAATATACTAAAACCCACTGAGCTGTACACTTTAAAATGATGACTATTACGGTTTGTGAACTTATTAGGTTTTCTACTTCTATTTGAGCCAATTTGACAATTTATTACTTTACAGAAAATTATCCCATTCGCCTTTTCCTTTTAAGTTCATTTGTGCCTATTTTTTCATCATCACCAGGGTCGTTTGGCTATTAATCTTTTCAGAATACTTATTTTAGCTTAGATAACCATTTCTACTCATGTTCATCACTAATGTTTGTCTGTTCTATTCATTGTATTTATACCTTTTTTCTTGTTATTTTCATCGTGTTTTATCTCTATTTGACCATTTGACATACATGTGGATATTCTGCACCAAGCAATTCTGAGTGTCTTACAATTTAATTCAATTCTGACACTAGCTACCTGGAATTATTACAGGATGGACCTCACAAAGGGGCTCAGTTCTGAACGACCGAGGCCAATTTCAAGTAGTGAGTTCTTAGGCTACCTACACTTCTGTCTAATTTGTGTATGAACTGGGGGTTCCCATGAACCCATTCTCAGTTTGGATAACTTCCTAAAACAGCTGACAAAAATCACAGAAACACTTTACTTACTAATACCAGTTTATTATAAAAGATACAGATGAACAGCAAGATCAGGAGGTACGTAGGTGAGATCCAGAAGGGTCCTGAATTCAGGACACTTGTGTCCTGGTGGAGTTCGGTGGAGCCACCCTCCTGTCATGTGTATGTGTTCACCAACCTGGAAGCTCCCCTAACCCCCTTATTAGTGTTTTTATAGATGTTCCATTACATAAGCATTATTGATTAAATTGGCAGTGCCAATTCTTAATCATGTTTTGCTCTTTCCAATTATAAAGCTGTCTAGAGAATCCAGCCACCAGTCATCTCATTAGCATACCAGAGATACTCATTATCCTGAAAATTTCAAGGTTCTTAGAAGTTCT